>NW_016107301.1:0-170206 GCF_000001405.40 Homo sapiens
GAATTCCCCATGAGTCCTGTGACCTCAGCCCACACGGGGACCTACAGGTGCTACGGCTCACTCAGCTCCGACCCCTACCTGCTGTCTCACCCCAGTGGCCCCGTGGAGCTCGTGGTCTCAGGTGAGGGCGCTGACCCTGTCCTCTCTGAGCTCAAAGGCTCAGCTCAGGCCCTGCCCCCAGCAGAGCTCTGGACACTAAGGAAAGAGGGGAGTGAAGGGAGAGGGTCCGCAGGGGAGGGTCCAGCCCATGGGAAGATGGAAATAGACAGGGACCTCCCACCCCTGGCTCCCACCCCTGAAGTCTCAGTAGAGTAAAGTGCAGGGAGGGCTGGGAGGAGACGGGGGGTGAACCTCAAAGGAGTTGAGATTAGACTGAGGGTGGAAGACGGAGGCCCCACCTGCTCCCATCCTGGTGTCTCCACCTCAGAATCAGAGCCTCTGTGTCCCAGTCCCCAACAGACGCCCTCCTGGAGAGAGAAGCATCCAGGCTGCCGGTGCCACCTGCATCCACCCCCGACCCCCCCCCACCCCGCCCCACTTCCTGCTTTCCCCTGCAGCCTCCCCAGCACTCAGCGCACACCTGAGCCTCACAGGGACTTGCACGTGCTCCCGCAGCAGCTCAGGGAATGTGCACCGCTCCTCTTCTGCGCCGTTGACATTTTTTATTTGGGTTTTTAAAATCTCATATTGGCCTTTTTGTCCAAGCTGGTGAAAGTAGATTTGCAGCATCACCTATTTTTATTCTCACCCGGTTTCGTAATAGCCCTGATCTCACGTGCTCCCTGAGGTTTTGTAAACTTCAGGTAGAAATGTGGACTTCCTTCGTTCTGGACATTTGCTATGGAGGGGGTAGGGCTTATCTTTTCAGAAAAAGTCAAATGACTGGTACCACTCCTTGAAACCCTACAGCACTTTCCAGACCTCAGAGGGAGGGAGAGAGAGGCAGAGACAGAGACAGAGAGACAGAGAGAGAGATATTGGGGCCGCTCTTTCCTGGCCGGTTCATCCTGGCCTATTCTCAATCCACCAAGGCCCCGAAGCTCATCTCCCCTCCTCCTCTGCCTCCTCCTCCACCCTGTAGACAAGCGGCCATTCCTTTCTGAAGAACAGGCTGAGACCTTTCTGGGACCTGCTCTTTCTGGAGCCTCTGTTGCTCCCTGTCTGGGTCTCCACACGCCTCCTTCCTGGCCCTTTTTCCTATTGAGGAATCAGCTTCAATGTCACCTCCAAGTGTGACCTTCACTGACGACACAGCTCAGCCCAGTCCTGCCTGCTTCTCATTTATGTCAAGTAATTAACCAACCTACACCATGCGGCTGAATTCCTTCTCTCTCTCTTCCACTCTCTGCATATACGTGTGTGTGTGTGTGTGCGCGTGTGTGGTCACACCAACATCTTACGTGACATTGAAACCTAGTTATCCGTATATCTATACAAATAATATATATTCACACATAAATATAGGTCTCTACCAATATATCTAAAACCATTGCTACGACTAGTAAATTTCCACTGCTGTGTTTCTATATGTTTGCTGTTTGTCTCCAGGTGAACCCACACTTCAAGAAGGCAGAGATAGTTTTTAAGGCCCACTATATATATAAAACAGATATATATTTGTGTTTGTGTTTTTCTGTGTGTGTATCACATTCTACCTGTTGCTGCCTATACGAATAATTAGCTACCTAGAGATTAAATGGACAATGAAACTCCAGGTGAAGTGGCTGAGGGCATGAAGGGGAGGCAGCCCCAGAATTTCACCCCTTTGTGCTTCTGACATTGAGGCTCCCCTGATGACTAACCCTCATCCACGGAGCCTGGGTCCTCAGCTGGTGGATCCGTGAAACTCTCATCTCCGGGGGAGTTGGCTCATGTTCTCCTGTGTCCCAGGCTGCACAGAGAGCACACAGGCCTTAGTGACCTCTGTACTGGGGACCACTTTCCTTGCAGATCCTGAGCTCTCAGGATGCAGGAAAACTCTCTCCCAGATGACTCAGGAGCAATGTTTAAATCCATAGAACACAGGAAAACTGAAATCGTTCAATGAGGAGACTAGAGGGAATCCTGCTAGCGGAGGAAGAGGTTTTTTTTTTTTTTTTTTAGAAATTCTGTAAAAGTCACATCATGAGACATTAAGTAATAAAAAAAAAATTGCAGAGCCCAGGTGAGAGGCTGGGCTCAGGTCTCTTTTTCTCTGTTTTGATTCTCTGGAGCAGCTGATACCCTCAGCCCATCACAAAACAAGTCTGACTCTGAGACTGGTATGTGAGGAGATACTCTCAGTGATGGGGCTGGCACTGAGGGTTGGGTCCTGTGAAGGGGAGGTGGGTGCCCTGGGTGGACAATCTGATCCACCCTGACCTCTGTGACCTCTTTGTCCACCATCCCCAGCCTCACACCTTCAGGATTACGCAGTGGAGAATCTCATCCACATGGGCGTGGCTGGCTTGATCCTGGTGGTCCTCGGGATTCTGTCATTTGAGGCTTGGCACAGCCAGAGAAGCTTCCCAAGATGCAGCCGGGAGGTGAACAGCAGAGAGGATAATGTACTTTATAGAGTCGTGAAGCCTCAGGAACAGATCTGATGATCCCAGGAGGTTCTGGAAGAAAATCTAGGGCCGATGCTATCTGGACTGTCTGCTGGTCATTTCCAGAGGAAGGAATCAATGTCCGAGTGCAGGGACATTTTCTGGGGTGATCCATGGAGAACCATTAAAATGTGATACCTTTCCTCTCCATTAATGTTGACTTTCCTTGGTTGGATCTGCCTCTTTTCCCACACTTAGACATGAGGCTCCATCCCACATGGCAGCGTTGGGTCCACACCTCTGCACACCTGCATGCTCTGGTCCATGGCGTGTCACACAGTCCTCTTCATTTCTCATTGCCACACTTCCTGGTGTACTTTACTGGGTCTTCATGTCTTCAGTTCAGAGTTCCGCACCTGGTTTAGGAACTAATTCAACGGGAGAAGATCAGAGTCCGACCAGGAAAAGATAAATGCACCGTGATGCCCTCACCTCCTGTGTGGACCCTATGAGCTCTTCCCTCCTTATCAGATGCTATCTGTGTAGTTTCTCCTGAAATATCACCACCTGGAATCAACACACTGGCATTTGAAGTCACGACCCAATGGTATGCTAATTCTGAAAAAGACATTTTTTGAAATGCTATGATTAGTGGCATTTACCAATTTCCTTGACGTAAATTCTTTTTTCATGGCCATAATCAAGATGCCAACGAGACATCCCTGAATGCAGGGTTGGGAAGCGTTGGACAGACTTGTCTTCACTCATAAGCACCAGGCATCTGATAGCTCACGTATACATCTTATTACCTTCCATTTTAGAGTGAATAATCATTTCTACTTCAGTATTTTGGCACAGGTAAAAGCAGTCCCATTACTGCGCGTATACCCAAAGGAATATAAATCATTCTATTGCAAAGATACATGCACACATGTGTTCATCGCAGCACTATTCACAATAGCAAAGACATAGAATCAACCCAAATGCCCATCAATGATAGACTGGATAAAGAAAATGTGAGACATATACACCACGGAATACTATGAAGCCATAAAAAGAAACAAGATCATGTCCTTTGCAGGGACATGGATGGAGCTGGAAACCATTATCCTCAGGAAACTAACACAGGAACAGGAAATCAAACGCTGCATGTTCTCACTTACAAGTGGGTGCTGAACAATGAGAATGCGTGAACACAGGGAGGGGAACAACACACACTGGGGCCTGTCGGGGGGGGGGTGGGGTAGGGGTAGGGAGAGCATTAGGAAAAATAGCTAATGTATGCTGGGCTTAATACCTAGGTGATGGGTTGACAGGTGCAGGAAACCACCATGGCGCACATTGACCTATGCAATAAGCCCACACATTCTGCACATGTACCCCGGAACTTAAAATAAAAATAAAAATTAAAATTAAATTATGACACCATGATCCTAGCATATCCAAAAAAGACAAAAATGCCAATATCAAATGTCGGAGAAAATAGGGCTGAATTAAAAATCCAATACAACGCCGGGCGCAGTGGCTCACGCCTGTAATCCCAGCACTTTGGGAGGCCAAGGTGGGTGGATCACTTGAAGTCAGGAGTTTGAGACCAGCCTGGCCAAACGTGGTGAAACCCTGCCTCTACTAAAAATACAAAAATTAGCCGGGTGTGGTGGCACTCGCCTGTAGTCCTAGCTACTAGGGAGGCTGAGGCAGGAGAATCACTTGAACCCGGGAGGCGGAGGTTGCAATGAGCTGAGATCATGCCACTGAACTCCAGCCTGGGTGACAGAGCGAGACTCCGTCTCAAAAAAAAAAACAAAAAAAAAAAACCCTCAAAAGCTCAGGCAGCAAAAGCAAAAATAGGCAAATGAGATCATAGCAAACTGCAAACCTTCTGCACAATCAAGGAAACAAACAGCAGAGTGAAGAGACCACCTACAGAATGGGAAAGAATATTTGCAAGCAAGAGATTAATCTCCAGAAAATACAAGGAGCTCAAACAATGCAGAGGTTTTGAAGGATGGTGATGAGAAGGTTCTGCTACTTACAGAAAGGAAGTTTAGGAGAAACAAAACCACAAACCTAGGTGGTGGGATGGCTTGATCTGCTTCTGTCTGTGACTCACTTAACAGTCTTAAACACATCTCCCTAAGCCTCCTTCCCCCGGTGGGATTCCTGGGTCTTGTGAGGACCTCATCGGTCCCTCTGGTAAACCCAGGCACAGAGTGGAGCAGCTCTTGTTTTCTCAGGATCTTCCCCTTCACATACAATTAACGCACCCACACGATGCTACTCTTAGAACCCTTCAAATAAATGTTTCCCGGTTCATTCACTACCAGAATCCAAGCTCAGCTTGTTCCCCAGCTTAGGACTGAGTGGTATCTTGGAGGTAGTTTCCACCATAGCCCCCTTCCTCTGCTATAAGGCTCAGTGACACACCAGAGACACCCCCTCCAGCCAGGCTCCTGGAAGGTCTGGATGAAGACTGGGATGCTGAGGCATTGCTCAGCAATGTGGCTTAACTCAAACTTCTATGTGAAACTTCCAACCACTTTCAGCAAGGGGTCACTTCCAGCGTCTTGGGGTGTGAGGGCACTTTGGTTGGTCCCTGCAATATCAGACCCTATAAAGATCCTACAAACATGTTGCAGACTCTTTGAAGATTCTGGCACTTTCAGACATGCTGTTGGGAAATGGTGACACCCATAACCTTCTAGTTCCAGGACAGGGAGCCTTAGCCCAGGGCTATGTTTTCTGAGGGTCCTCAAAGTAAACAGTTCTATGTGCCAGGAGAACCCTAAATCTCATATGGTTCTAAGGGCAGAAAGCCACACACGCACCGGCAAAAAGCAAGAGATTCAAGGAAAAGCTGAGCAAAGACAGACAGGAAAACACACACATGATGAGCCAGCTTGTAGAGCTAGAACTGAGATGGAGAGAGGCACGAGTGGGTAACAGAGTGTGCTCCCCAGAACAGGTGGAGAGAATGCCTTTTTCATGCCCTGAGGATAGGCTGGGTAAGGCTTGTGCTCGACAGTCAAGGACTATTTTTTTCCCCAGGCGTCTACAAGAGACCTTCCTTCTCAGCTCAACTGTGCCCTGCAGTAAGTAATGATGGAGAGAATGTGACTTTGCTCTGCAGCTCTGGAAGCTCATTTGACCTGTGCCTTCTAACGAGGAAGGTAAGGCCCCTGGACACTGGCTCACTGGGGTGCAGAGACAGAGTGGGGCATTCAGGCCAACTTCTCTCTGGGTCTTGGGGCTGGTGATGGGACCTCTAGATGCTGCAGCTCTCTGTCGATGGCTCTGCCTGTGAGTGATCAGCCCTAGATGACCACTGTTACTGGGGGTAGCCCATGCCTGCTGCATGCCCTGTGAAACACTAAATCATATAGCCACGTCTGAGGGACAGCCTGCTGGAGACATGGGAATCTTAGGGATTCCAGACAAAATGAAGCAATGAGAAACACAAAGAGGAAAAGAGAGGTTGAGTATGACAGTGGTGTCAGGGTGTAGGGTGGTAGACAGGGCAGCTCCACACTCTCCACTGCTTCCTGTCTGGAGGCCCACTTTGGGGTCCTACTTATCCAGGTGAGTGAAGGAAGAGGTCAGGACAAACACAGGAGGTGAAGCCAGATACAGTGTGGGGAGATAAGCAGTGGCCTCAGCCTCTAGCCCTTTTCCATCTTCCAGAAGCCCCTCCTGAGCTCTCATCACAGACAGATTTCCCATTTGGAAACCCAGATATTTATCATGCCGGGGGGGGGAGGCAATGTCTCTTGATTATGGGGACTTTCCATCACCAGGCACCTGCTAGTCCTCTCTATACCTTCCCTTCAGGAAAGGAATTGTCCCTCATGGGATTCCAGGGAAGAGACCCCAGGACCCCTATCAGTCACTAGGGAGATGACAGAGTAGAGGAAGTCAGGGGACCAACCCTCCACAGAGAATGGTCCTACTTCAGTGGGGTGAGGGAAACTCTCACTCATCCATTTGCTGTCCTGTTACCTCGGAACCCTAAGAGAACTTGTTAGTCACACACAGAATCTACCCCTGAATGTGGTGTGCAAAGTGGGGCTCTTAGCCTCCAGTGTGAAGTCCCTGGGAAGATGGAATGTCCCTGTGTGAGTGAAGGCTGTGCCACCGCCCAGCTATGTGGCCTTGGGCTAGGCAACCCCTCCCAGGTCCCCAGTTCCCCATCTGCATCGGAGACTGTGGCCAGTGCGGGAATCCACAAGGCCCTTCAGCCTCCAAAGCTCTGGGACAGAGGCCTCGTCCACAGGGAGGAAGGGGTCAGAGTGACCTGAGTCCCTACTCAGGAGCGAGTCTAATCCACTCTCCATCGGGGCCTGTGGGGAAGGGAAGATGAAGAAACGGAGCCTGCACCTGGCTATGTGGGCGCAGTAGATTAAGGGGAGGATGAGGGTTCCTGAGAGTGTGTCATGTGGCAGAGACCCTGCAGCACACTCAGGAAGGGCTCTGGAAGGATCCAAGGAAATTTTCCAAGAAGAGGGCAGAGTAAGTGACAGAGACCCTCAACCATGGATTTCACTGAGGTGCCCATGATGACATAGGGAGAACGGGGGTGTCTGGGCAGGAAGAATATCGTCAGGGTGAAATGAATGGTGATGAGCTTCGTGTCAGAGCTCCTGTGGAGGGAGGGGCCTGGCCCACATGAAAAGGTCTCTGATCCTACCCCAGCCCCCAGCCCCTGTTCTCCAGGATGACACTGTGGGAATTCCATCAGGAGGGGTGTGATAGGGCTGGTCTTCCTGGCTCGATTCACAACACTGGCTGGGGACTGGGAACCCATGGGGAGCCACAGGTGGAAAGGGAGGAGCCTCAGTGAACCCAGCAGGAACAAACATAGGGTCTGACATGATGGAACTCACTTCCTGGAGGCCAAGAAAGACACTTGCGGGACAAAAGGGAAAGAGCGGTGGCTTGCTTAGTTCCATTCACTGACAACCCACAGGAGATGTCCAGTCCTTTTTTGATTTATTATTTTATTTTATTATATTTTATTTTATTTTATTTTATTTTCACATGGAGTTTTGCTCCTATTGGCCAGGCTGGAGTGCAATGGCACGATCTTGACTCACTGCAACCTCCACCTCTCAGGTTCAAGCGATTCTCCTGCCTCAGCCTCCTGCATAGCTGGGATTACAGGCGACTGCCACCACAGCCAGGTAATGTTTGTATTTTTAGTAGAGATGAGGTTTTGCCATCTTGGCCAGGCTGGTCTCAAACTCCTGATCTCATGTGATCCGCCTGTATCAGACTGCCAAAGTGTTGGGATTACAGGCGTGAGCCACCACACCCAGCCTTTTGTATTTTTAGTAGAGATGGGGTTTCACCATGTTGGTCAGGCTGGTCTTAAACTCCTGACCTCAGGTGATCCATCCACCTCGGCCACCCAAAGTGCTGGGAGTACAGATGTTAGCCACCGTACCCAGCGAGAGTTTCAGTGCTCTATCGGATTCCCTGCCTACTCCATGTTGCATGTAATGTTCCACCTCAGGGATGTTTCTCTCCTTTCTGTCTCCTTCCTCTTCTCCTTCTCCTTTTTTCTTTCTAATTTTTATTTTTTTGAGACAGAGCCTTGCTCTGTTACCCAGGCTAGAGTACAGTGGCACGATCCCAGCTCACTGCAACCTCTGCCTCCTGGGTTCAAGAGATTCTCCTGACTCAGCCTCTCAAGTAGCTGGGATTACAGGCACCCGCCATCACACCCAGCTAGTTTTTGTATTTTTAGTAGAGACGAGGTTTCACCATGTTGGCCAGACTGGTCTTGAACTCCTGCCCTCAGGTAATCCACCCGCCTGTGGCCCCCCAAAGTGCTGGGATTACAGGCGTGAGTCACCACTCCCAGCCCTGAATGATCTTTCCTCTTTAGTGTGTTCTCACAACCACCTCTCACTGAGCTTTCTTGTTTTTTGTTTTTGTTTTTGTTTTTGTTTTTGTTTTTGGCAGAGTCTGGCTTTGTTGCCTATGCTGGAGTGCAGTGGTGCAATCTCAGCTCACTGCAACCTCCGTCTCCTGGGTTCAAGCGATTCTCCCACCTCAGCCTCCTGAGTAGCTGGGATTACAGGCACCCACCACCACACCCAGCTAATTTTTGCATTTTTAGTAGACACAGGGTTTCACCATGTTGGTCAGGCTGGTCTCGAACTCCTGACCTTGTGATCTGCCAGCCTCAGCCTCCCAAAGTGCTGGAATTACAGGCATGAGCCACCACTCCCAGCCCTGGATTATCTTTCCTCTTTAGTGTGTTCTCACAACTACCTCTCACTGCTGGGTTTTCTCTCTTTCTTTTTTTTTTTTTTTTTTTTTTTTTTTGAGACAGTCCGGCTTTGTTGCCCAGGCTGGAGTGCAGTGGCGCGATCTCGGCTCACTGCAAGCTCCACCTCCCAGGTTCAAGCGATTCTCCCACCTCAGCCTCCCTAGTAGCTGGGATTACAGGCGCATGCCAGCACACCCAGCTAGTTTTTGTATTTTTAGTAGAGACAGGGGTTTCACCATGTTGGTCAGGCTGGTCTTGAACTCCTGACCTTGTGATCTTCCTGCCTCGGCCTCCCAAAGTGCTGGGATTACAGGTGTAAGCCACTGCACCCAGCCAGCTTTCTCATTCTTATCCCTTAGTTCTCTGCCAGGGAATAAGATAGAAACCATTCCCTCAACCACATTCTAGTCATGGTCCCTATTCTCATGTTTCCACTTCTCTCTCTTTGGTAATAAATCAATTAATTGAGAAACAAGTAGCTAAATGTTCATCTTCTGCTAGTCTGCATCCCCTTATTTTCCCAGAGCCTCCCCTAATGAAACTGACTTTATTTACTGAACGCAGGAAATGGGTCTCTCCAGATCAGGATGACTTTCTGCTGGGAAATATTTGTCTTTGCATCAGTGGGGAAAAAGAAAGCCGATGTCATGAGTGGAGGCTCTGAGAAAATAAGGGCTGTGTTTTCAGTTTAGACCCAGCTAAGTTGGGAGCTGACATAGATATGATGTTGGGTCCACCCTCCACGGGCAGGTTTTCAGACAAAGGATCCCTGGCAATCAGGGGACACCTCAGGTCTGGGCTGAGATGTGTGCAGAGGGCCTGGGTCCTCCTGAGCCCCTGCACTGGGGGGGGAATAAGAGACAGGCCCAGCAAGGGGCTGTCCACTTCCTGTGGGTTCACAGCTGTGGGGACCCAGGCAGGCGGCAGCAGGCTCTGACTTAACCACATCCGTGCATCTGTCTGTCATGGAGGGCCATGTGGTCACCTGTCCCACAGCTGGAGCACGCAGAGCAGGCATCATGGTGTCCATCCTCACTGTTCTTCTGTGCCTCAGTCAGTGGTGGAGAGACGAGGGACAGGAGGGGCACTGGGCTGAGGTGGGGAGGGTCCCACAGCAGCCTTGTTCACCAGAGAGCCTCAGGGCTCCAGTGGCTACTGGTGCTCCAACAGGAAGGGAAGCAGCCACACCTCTGTGTTCCAAATCCCCCACAGGAAACTCTTCTCCATGGCTGAGTCTGGGCCAGAAAGCCCAAGCACTTGCAGGTGAGTCTCTGCTAACCTCCCATGCCTGACCTCACACTCAGCACCTGGACTCTCATCTCAGGGGCTTCTGAACTGAGGGTGAGAAAATCAAGAGGGTCTGTGACCTGAGCTGGGAATGAGGAGCGGGGGAGGTCTGTGGACCCCAGCCTGTGGTTTCTTCCAGGGACCCTCCCCAAACCCAGCCTCTGGGCTGAGCCAGGCTCTGTGATTACCTGGGAGAGCCCCATGACCCTCTGGTGCCAGGGGACCCTGGATACCCAGGGTTACTATCTCACCAAGGAAGGAAACCCCATGACCTGGTACCAACAGAGCCCACCAGAGCCCAGGAACAAGACCAACTTCTTCATCCCATCCATGAGAGAGCACCATGCAGGGAGATACCACTGTCACTATCTCAGCCCTGCAGGCTGGTCAGAGCGCAGCGAGCCCCTGGAGCTGGTGGTGACAGGTAAGAGGACACTCAGGGGTCCCAGCCCCAGGCTCTGCCTGCAGGAAGGGGGTCAGCTCTCAAGGGCATCTCCGTTCTAATAACTCAGCCCTGGGGGATGATGTGGGACGCGTGAGCCCCATTTAAGACAGTGTCTCCTTCTCTCCTAGGAGCCCACAGAAAACCCACTCTCTCAGCCCTGCCGAGCCCTGTGGTGACCTCAGGAGAGAACGTGACCATCCAGTGTAGCTCAAGGGTGGGATTTCACAGGTTCATTTTGATTGAGGAAGGAGAAAACAAGCTCTCCTGGATGCTGGACTCACAGGAACTCTCCAAGGGGCTGTCCCTTGTCCCTGGCCCTGTTCCCTGTGGGCCGTGTGGCTGCCAGTCACCGGTGGATGTTCAGATGCTATGGGCATTACACGAACTTCCCCTGGGTGTGGTCGGAACCCAGTGATACCATGGAGATCCTGGTCTTAGGTATGGATGTCTTCCTCCTTGCCCTATTTATTTTTGAGAACTTACTCTCACGGAGCCCCATGTAGGAGGGTGGAACAAGGGAAGTTTGGGACTCCTGAGCCCAGAGACACTGAGTGTGAGAGACAGTGAGACCTGCAGGGCCAGGAGGGGAGAAGGAAGGGGTGTGGGAGGAACCAGCCCTCCTAGTCCCGACTCTTCTTTCCCTCCAGGCGTGTCTAGGAAGCCCTCCCTCCTGACCCTGCAGGGCCCTGTCGTGGCCCCTGGGGAGAATCTGACCCTCCAGTGTGGCTCTGATGTCGGCTATGACAAATTCACTCTGTACAAGGAGGGGGGACATGACCTCGTCCAGGGCTCTGGCCGGCAGCCCCAGGCTGGGCTCTCCCAGGCCAACTTCACCCTGGGCCCTGTGAGGGTCTCCCACGGGGGCCAGTACAGATGCTACGGTGCACACAACCTCTCCTCCGAGTGGTCGGCCCCCAGTGACCCCCTGAGCATCCTGATCGCAGGTGAGGAGCCCAGCAGGTTCAGTCAGGGACCCAGGCTCCGCACAGGCCCTGCTGGGGGAGCCCAGGTGGTGATGGCCGGGATGAGGGGTGGGGGTCCTAAGGGACGGAGAGACAGACAGAGACAGGGGATGGGCGGGGAGGGGGAGACTCAGAGAAAACAGAGACAGAGACACTGAGGGTCCCAGGGAGAGGCCTGGGGAGGTGTCAGCTCAGAACGAGGTGGGGCAGCCCCTCACCCATCCTTCTTCTCTCCAGGACAGATCCGTGGCAGACCCTCCCTCTCGGTGCAGCCGGGCCCCACGGTGGCCTCAGGAGAGAACGTGACCCTGCTGTGTCAGTCACGGGAGCAGTTGGACACTTTCCTTCTGACCAAGGAGGGGGCAGCCCATCACCCACTGCGTCTGAGATCAGAGCACCAAGCTCAGCAGCACCAGGCTGAATTCCCCATGAGTCCTGTGACCTCAGCCCACGCGGGGACCTACAGGTGCTACAGCTCACGCAGATTCTTCCCCTACCTGCTGTCTCACCCCAGTGACCCCCTGGAGCTCGTGGTCTCAGGTGAGGCCGCTGACCCTGTCCTCTCTGAGCTCAAACCTCAGCTCAGGCCCTGCCCCCAGGAGAGCTCAGGACGCTAAGGAAAGAGGGGAGTAAAGGGGGAGGGTCGGCAGGGGAGGGCCCAGCCCATGAGAGGGTGGAAATAGTCAGGGACCTCCTAATCCTGGGCTCCCACCCCAGAGACCTCAGATGGGGCTAAAGGCCAGGGAGGGCTGAAATGAGATATGGAGAAACCTTGGAGGAATCATGCTTAGGCTGAGGGTAGAAGATGGAGGCCCCACCCACTCCCCACCTGGGCTCCCCTGGCGGCCCCAAAATACTCAGTGCATACCTGAGACGAAGGGGAGATCATGCACCTGCTCACTGCAGCAATGCAGGCAAATTATTCAACAGCAAACCTCGTGTGCAATTCCTTTCTGTCCTTTATTTTTTATGTCCACATATCTAGTTTCTCTTTCTGTTTCTGAAGATTTCAAAGCAATGCTGGCATTTATAATTTACACATTTAATTTGTTAGGTAGCGTTATGATGTAAAATAACTGTGCTCTGATTTTCTTTGGGATTAAATTAAATATGTGCATTCATGATGGAGAATAACTTCTCATTAATAATGTCTTTGTATCCAATACATTTAAAATTAAACTTTATACAGTTAGCAGATGCTTGAAGTTGTATTCATAAAAATTGTGGACATTGTGAATTTTAAGCATTGTTTTACTACTTGAATAATTTGAAAGTCTTTGATTCCTTTCTATTTTCTAAAATTAGTTACGTATGGATGAGAAAGCTATTGGTTTGGGTATGCTAATTTTAGTTCCTATTAACTTACCACAGACACACTCCCTTTCAATCCTTTCCGAAATGATCTCTTCTGATTTATTGATAATAATTACATTAACCACAAGAAAATGGAGGACAAACTTGTTTGTTTCTAAATTATATAATACTCTTCTCACTTCAAATATATATGTATGTGTTTATATATACTCACACACTATTATATATCTTATAATATATATTATGTATTATATATTTATATATACACTATTATATATCTTATATATTATGTATTATATATTTATATATACCCACACATTATTATATCTTATAATATATATTATGTATTATATATTTATATATACCCACACATTATTATATCTTATAATATATATTATGTATTATATATTTATATATGCACTATTATATATCTTATATATTATGTATTATATATTTATATTACCCACACATTATTATATCTTATAATATATATTATGTATTATATATTTATATATACACACACTATTATATATCTTATTATATATTATGTATTATATATTTATATATACTATTATATATCTTATAATATATAATGTATTATATATTTATATATACACACACTATTATATATCTTATATATTATGTATTATATATTTATATATACATACTATTATATATCTTATAATATATTATGTATTATATATTTATATATATACACTATTATATATCTTATTATATATTATATATTTATATATGCACACACTATTACATATCTTATTATATATTTATATGTATACACACACTATTATATATCTTATTATATATTATGTACTATATATTTATATATACTATTATATATCTTATAATATATAATGTATTATATATTTATATATACACACACTATTATATATCTTATATATTATGTATTATATATTTATATATACATACTATTATATATCTTATAATATATTATGTATTATATATTTATATATATACACTATTATATATCTTATTATATATTATATATTTATATATGCACACACTATTACATATCTTATTATATATTTATATGTATACACACACTATTATATATCTTATTATATATTATGTACTATATATTTATATATACTATTATATATCTTATAATATATAATGTATTATATATTTATATATACACACACTATTATATATCTTATATATTATGTATTATATATTTATATATACATACTATTATATATCTTATAATATATTATGTATTATATATTTATATATACACACTATTATATATCTTATTATATATTATATATTTATATATGCACACACTATTACATATCTTATTATATATTTATATGTATACACACACTATTATATATCTTATATATTATATATTTATATATACTCACACTATATCTTATAATACATATTATGCATACACATATGCATAATACATATTATCTATACACATATGCATAATACATATTATGTATACACATATGCATAACACATATTATGTATACACACATATTTACACCTATGCATATATGTATGTATGTATGCGAATGTACCTCTGCCACGGCAGGGAAAGGTTCTATCACACAACTACAGAGCAGTTAGGAGAAGTGTAGACACAAAGGAATGCAGCAACTGAGGGACATGTTGGCTTAAGTCTCTTCAACTCCTCACACACCTCCCCCTTTTTTGGTTGATTCTCAGGAGCAGCTGAGACCCTCAGCCCATCGCAAAACAAGACAGACTCCAAGACTGGTGTGTAAGGAGATGCTCTCGGTTATGGGGCTGGCACAGAGGGTCAGGTCCTGTGAAGGGGAGGTGGGTGCCCTGGGTGGACATCCAGGGGTCCCGGGTGATGTTGATCTGCCCTGACCTCTGAGACCTCTTGGTCCACCATCCCCAGCCTCACACCCCCAGGATTACACAGTGGAGAATCTCATCCGCGTGGCTGTGGCTGGCTTGGTCCTGGTGGTCCTCGGGATTCTGCTGCTTTAGGACTGGCACAGCTAGAGAAGTCCCCAAGATGCAGCAAGGAGGTAAATACATGAGAGAACAATGCACCCTTCAGAGTGCCAGAGCCTTGGCAATGAATCTGATAGTCCTAGGAGGTTCTGGAAGAAAGTCTGGACCATCATTCGGGAAACCGTCTACTGAGAAAGTCGAGAAGGGGAGGCTTGGGTCAGGTTCAGGAAGATGTCTGGGTGCCTGTAGAGAACGCTTCCTCCATTAAACTTCCATTAAATGGCAGTGCTTTCAGTCCTGCTGTTGTGGATCCTCCGTGTCTGCCCCTCCCTTCCTTTCGCTCTCTGTGATGTGAAGGCACGTCCCCCATGGTGGGTTTGCATCCACACCCCTGCGATCACGTGCTCTGGTCCACTGTCATGTAATACATTTGTCTTTGTTTCCAACTACCGCATTCTCTAAAGTGAACTATTGATTCTCCATCTTTTCAGTTCTGAGCATAGATCTGGATTAAATAACTGGAATAGGTGGGCAGATTTGTATTTGGGACTTTGAAACATGAGTCTGAGGCCAGGCACAGTGGCTCACACCTGTAATCCCAGCACTTTGGGAGGCTGAGGTGGGCGGATCACTTGAGGTCAGAAGTTCGAGACCAACCTGGCCAACATGGTGAAACCCTGTCTCTACTAAAAGATACAAAAATTAGCTGGGTGTGGCAGTGAGCACCTGTAATCCCAGCTGCTCAGGAAGCTGAGGCGGGAGAATAGCTTGAACCCGGGAGGCGGAGGTTGCAGTGAGCCAAGATCTTGCCACTGCACTCCAGCCTGGGCAACAGAGCAAGACTCCATCTCCAAAAAAAAAAAAAAAAAGGGAAATATGAGTCTGAAATGATGCCCTAGCACCCTCTCTGGACCCTGAATTCCCTTCACTCTTCATCGGATGATACCTGTGTACTTTGTCCAGAAATATCATCTCTCAGAATGAGCACACTAACGCTCGAAGGCTCAGCCTCATGGTATTCTGTTAAACTGGCTCTCTGAAAAAATTATTTTCTTAAGAAAACTCTGAACATATAAAGCCCCAGATTTATGGTATTTGCTGATTAGTGTGGTATAAATACGTCCTTTATGGCCAACTTCAGGGTGCCCATATGACGCCATTGAATGCACAGTTGGGAAGTAGTCAAAAGAATTGTCGTTCACACGAGTATGAACCAGTTGTAAAGTTTATTTAAAGGTTATAATAATTTCTGCTTCATTCTTATGGTGTAGTTTCAGTAAAATTGTAATGTCAAAAATCATAGCACAATGGAGGGAAAAGAAAAAAATAGGCCGGGTGTGGTGGCTCATGCCTGTAATCCCAACACTTTGGGAGGCCGAGGCAGGAGGATCACCTGAGGTCAGGAGTTCGAGACCAGCCTGGCCAACATGGTGAAACGCTGTCTCTACTAAAAATACAAAAATTAGCCAGACATGGTGGCGCCTGCCTGTAATCCCAGCTACTTGGGAGGCCAAGGCACGAGAATCGCATGAACCCAGGAGGCGGAGGTTGCAGTGAGCCGAGATCACTACAGCCTGGGTGATAGAGCAAGACTCAGTCTCAAGAAAAGAAAAAAGTAGCAAAATCATTTTTTGGAAAGAATATTGAACATGTAGAATTTTAGTACATTAATAGTAAGAGTACAAATTGCTTTAATCAATTAAGGAAGTGTATTGGAATTATCTAGTTAAAAAGAGGAGGCACATGGCTGTGACCCTTCTTAATTATGTACTTAATTATGTACCCTAGAGATAAATGTCTACTTATGTGTCATGATACACTCACAACTGTTATAGGAATGCTGTTCCTATTAGCCAAAGCTATAAAATACCAAAGTCCACCTACGAAAAAAATAAACATAGTGTGGTAAATAGACTCAGTGGAATATTACAAGGTAGTAAAATGCATAAATGAAAATAACAAACAGCACCATACTTCAATTTTCAAGCATAAAGTCAAGTAAATGAAGTATTATTTGAAAATGTGTGCATGGTTATTTCATTACATAAAGGTCAAAAGGAGGGTACATTTATTATTTAGGAAAACACACCTAAGATATCTTTGTAAAATCTGTAAAATCAATAGTACTGTTTCCCCTCTTTCATTCCTTATCTTGAAAATGCTTGTCTCTTTTTCTGCCATGGCTTTCTACCTTGCTTGATATATTACAATTTTGTAACCTGCTTATTTCATCATATGTCATAAGTTCACATGTATATCCCATGAATTATTGAGGGTCTTATTCATTTCAAGTGGCATTTAGGTTTTTAAAAATATCTTTTGGCGACCAGGTGCAGTGGCTCATGCCTGTAATCCCAGCACTTTGGGAAGCCAAGGCAGGTGGATCACGAGTTCAAGAGACAGAGATCATCCTGGCGAACATGGTGAAACCCCGTCTCTACTAAAAATACAAAAAAAAAAAAAAAAATAGCTGGGCATGGTAGAGGGTGCCTGTAGTCCCAGCTTCTCAGGAGGCTGAGGCGGGAGAATGGCATGAACCCGAGAGACGGAGGTTGCAGTGAGCCGAGATCGTGCCACTGCACTCCAGCCTGGCAACAGAGTGAGACTCTGTCTCAAAAAAAAAAAAAAAAGAAAGAAAGAAAGGAAGAAAAAAAAATCTTCTGGCATTAACTATTAAGAAATTGCACTATAAAAAGAGAATATAATGCATAAGACGGCAATTTGAAAAGATTCAGATATAATTTTTTCTTATCTAGTAAATACTTAGTAATTTGTCTAATGCATGCCTTAAATACATACCACTTTATGCAGAGGTTGCCATGAGCCGAGATCGCGCCGTTGCACTCTAGCCTGGGTGGCAGAGCAAGACTCCATCTCAAAAAAAAAAAAGAAAATCTCACAGAAGGAGACCCAGAGCTTCCAGCCTCGCCCAGAGTCTTGGCTCACTCCCTGTGTGTGTGGACCCTAGGGAGCCTCTTCTGTTCCCCACAGAGGTGGAAACTTCCTCCTTAATAACCCCTTGATGGTCCCAGGCACTGGTGACCACTGAGCTTTGCTCTCTCTTTTTTCTTATGGTTCCCTGTCTACTTCCAGGGCTATCACTTTACTTTTTGTGCATTAGACCATGAATAATGTTTTAGAAACATTCTATCAAATTTCTCAGTGCTAGGAACAACTGAGGTTTTTGATTGGGTGCCTCAAATGTCTACCCTTACTGTGGAGTCCGACAACAGGATTCTAACAAGTCCCAACCCCTTCATGCCTTAACCTGGTCTGGAAATAAATTATGTTTAAGCCATCCCATACCCCAGCCACATCAAGCCCCACAACCACTCTGAGAAGTGAGATTTATAGCAAAATGCTCCAAACAAGGTAACTAAGGTTCAGACAAGGGATGTTAATGTGTCCATTTACATAAACAAAAAATGGTAGATGATCAGCTTTCCCTTTGAAATCAGAGTACTAATCTGACTCATTGTTCCCTGAATTTTAGAGGCAGGACCTCAGGAGGAGCTAAGAATCCTACCCCAGGAAAATTACCAATATCAGAAAGGAAACAATGACATCAGTACAGATCCTACAGAATTCAAAAGATTCTAAGTGGACATTATGAAGACATTATTCAGCTTAGATGAAGTGGTCACATATCACAAGAAAACAAACTGTCTAAAACAATCTCTGAAATACCTAGACATTCCCTGAATCATTGAGTTATTAAATAAAATACATTTTAAAATTAAACTCTTTTCAGGAAATAAACTTCAATGTCCCCTAGTGCACTCTCCAAAACATGTAGATGGGAATAAATACTGTTCTGAAAGACATTTCCCTGGAATTACAACCATTCAATATATTTTAAAAGGCAATCATAAAAATATAAAAAGGATATATCAGGAGAAGAAATGTAAATGGCCTAAATTCCCCACATAAAAGGCATAGAGTGGCAACGTGGATAAAAAGCCAAGAGCCAACTGCCTGCTGTCTTCAAGAGACCCATCTCACATGTAATGACACCCACAGGCTCAAAGTAAAAGGATGAAGAAATATTTACTAGGCAACCAGGAAACAAAAAAAAGGAAGGCATTCCTATTCTTATATCACATGAAACACACTTTAAATCAACAGCAATCAGGAAGGACAAAGAAGGGCATTACAAAATGATAAAGGGTTCAATTTGACAGAAGACTTAACTATTCTAAATATATATGCACCCAAATTTGGAGCACCCCGATTCATAAAACAAGTTATTCTTCACCTATGAAAAGAGTTAGACAGCCACACAATAATAGTAAGGGACTTCAGTATCCCACTAACAACGTCAGATGAATCACTAAAACAGAAAACTAACAAAGAAATTCTGGTCTTAAAGACAACACTTGACCAATTGGACCTCATAGACATCTACAGAGTACTCCACCCAACAACTGCAGAATATAGATTCTTCTTATCTGCACACACAAAAAACATATCATATTCTAAGACTGGCCACAAAGCAAGTCTCAATAAATTCAAAGAATCAAAATCATAACAAGGCACACAATAAAAATAGAAAAAAATACCAAGATGATCTCTCAAAACTACAGAAAAACATGGAAATTTAACAACTTGTTTCTGAATGAATATTAAGAGCCATCTATGACAAATCCACAGCCAACATCATATTGAATGGTCAAAAGCTGGAACTGTACCCCTTGAGAACTCTTGGGTGAACAATGAAATTAAAGCAGAAATCACAAAACATTATTTAAAATTAATAAAAATAGAAACAAACTTACCAAAACCTTTGGGATGCAGTTAAAGCAGTGATAAGAGGAAAATTTATAGCAATACATGCCTCATCAGAAGTTTAGAAAGATCTCAAATTAGTGACTTAACACTGCATCTAGAGGAACTATTAAAAAAAAGGAACAGTCCAAACCCAAGGCCAGCAAAAGATGAGAAATAACTAAAGTCAGAGAGAACTGAATAAATTGAGACCAAAAAGTCCATACAAGAGATAAATAAAACCAAGAGTTTTTCTTTGAAAAAAAATAAACAAAATTCATAGACTGTTAGCTAGATTAACAAAGAAAAAGAGAAAAGATCCAAATAAACACAAATAGAACTGACAAAACAATGTTACGAACAATCCCACAGAAATAGAAAAGATCGTCAAAGACTATTATGAACACCTCTATACAAACAAGCTAGAAAACCTAGAAGAAATGGATAAATTCCTGGTAACACAAAATTTATCATATTTCAACCAGGAAGAAAGTGAAAACCTGAACAGACCAATAACAAGTTCAGAAATTTAATCAGTAATAAAAACCCTACTAACTAAAAATAGCCCAGGACCAGATGGATTCACAGCCAAAATCCAACAGCCATACAAAGAAGAACTGATACCGATCTTACTGAAACTTTTGGAAAAAATCAAGGAGTGGGGGCTTCTTCCTAACTCATTCTATGAAGCCATCATCACCATGATACCAACATCTGTCAGAGACATAATGAAAAAAAGAAAACTACAACTAAATATCCTTAATGAACATAGACATAAAATCCTCAACAAAATGCTAGCAAATTGAATCTGTCAGTGCATCAAAAGTTAATTCACATGATCAAGTAAGCTTTATTTTTGGGATGCAAGGTTGGTTCAACCTACAAAGTCAACGAATGTGATTCACCTCATAAACATAATTAAAAACAAAAACTATATGATCATCTCAATAGATGCAGAAAAAGCTTTCTGTAAAATCCAACATCCCTTCATGATAAAAACTGTCAATAGGCATCAAAGGAACATACCTCAAAATATTAAGAGCCATCTATGACAAACCCACAGCCAACATCATATTGATGGGCAAAAGCTGGAACCATACCCCTTGAGAACCGAAACAAGACCAGGATGACCACTCCCGCCATTTTAATTCAACATGGTACTGGAAGTCCTAGCCAAAGCAATCAGGCAAGAGAAGGAAATAAAAGGCATTAAAATTGGAAAAGAAGTAGTGATACTGTCTCTCTTTGCTGATGAAATAATTTTATACATAGAAAACCCTAAAGACTCTGTCAGAAGGCTCCTGAAACTGATAAACAAATTCAATAAAGTTTCGGGATTAAAAAAATGTACACAAATTAGTAACATTTCTATGCACCACTAACATTCTAGCTGAGAACTAAATCAAGAACACAATTCCATTTACACTAGCCACAAAGAAAATAAAATACCTAGGAATCCATCTAACCAAGAAGGTGAAAATTCTCTACAAGGAGAACTACAAAACACTTCTGAAAGAAATAAGAAATGATACAAACAAATGGAAGAATATTCCATGCTCATGAATTAGGAGAACAAATAGTTAAAATCGCCATACTTCCAAAAACAAATTGCAGACTCAATGCTATCCATTTCAAAATGCAATGTCATTTTTCACGAAATTATAAAAATTTATTCTAAAATGTATTTGGCACCAAAAAAAGAGCCTGAATACACATAGGAATCCTAAGCACAAAGAACAAAGCCCAGGCATCACATTACCCAACTTCAAACTATACTACAATGCTATAGTAACCCAAACAGCATGATACTACTACAAAAACAGACACATAGACCAATGAGACAGAATAGAGAACCCAGAAATGAGGCTACATACCTACAATCATCTTTGAAAAAATTGACAAAAACAAGCAATGTGGAAAGTACCCTTTCTTCAATAAATAGTTCTGGGATAACTGACTACTCATATGCAAAATAATAGAACTGGACCCCTAACTCTCACTATATACAAAAATTAACCCAAGATAGTTTAAAGATTTAAATGTAAAACCTCAAAATATTAAAATTCTAGAAGAAAACCTAGGAAATATCCTTCTCAAGATAGACTTTGGCAAAGAATTTATGGCTAACTCCCCAAAACCAATTGTGACAAAGACAGAAATTGGGACCTAACTCAACTGAAGAGCTTCTGCACAGCAAACGAAAGTATCAACAGAGTAAACAGATAACCTACAGACTGGGAGAAAATATTTGCAAACTATGCATCTGACAAAGTTCTAATATCCAGAATCTATAAGGAATGTAAACAAATCAACAAGCAGAAAACCAAAAAACCTCAATTAAGTATGACATGAACAGACACTTCTCAAAAGAAGATGTACACATGGCCAAAAAACATATGAACAAATGCTTATTATCAGTAATCATCAGAGAAATGCAAATTAAAACCACAGTGAGATACCATCTCACAACAATCAGAGAAGCAGAAGCAATTACTAAAAAGTTTTTTGTTTTTTTTAATAACAGATGCTGACAAGATTGTGGAGAAAAGGGAACACTTATACACTCTTGGTGGGAATGTTAACTAGTTCAGCCAATGTGATAAGCAGTTTGGAGACTTCTCAAATAACTTAAAATAGAACTACTATTCAATCAAGCAATCCCACTACTGGGTATATACCAAAAGGAAGGTAATTAACTATGTCAAAAAGACACATGCACTAGTATATTCATTGCTGTGCAATTCAGAATAGCAAAGATTTGCAGTCAACCTAAGTGCTCACCAACAGTGGATTAGTTAAAGAAAATGTGCTACATATACACATGGAACATTACATGGCCATAAAAAATAATGAAATCATGTCCTTTGCAGCAACATGAATGTAGCAGGAGGTCAATCTCCTAAGTGAACTAACCCAGGAACAGAAAACCAAATACCACATGTTATCACTTATAACTGAGAACCAAACATTGAATACACATGAACATAAAGATGGAAACAACAGATACCGAGGACTACAGATGGGGGGAGGAGTAGGGAGGTATAGGCTGAAGAAACACCTGTTGGATTCTATGCTCATTGCCTGGGTGATGGCATTGTTGGAACCACAAACCTCAGAGTCACACAATATGCCTATGTAACAAACCTGCATGCATACCTTTAATCTACAGTAAAGGTTGAAGTTATTTAAAAATAGGAAGAAGAATTACCCTATACCTAAAGCTAAGATTTTTCCCTTTGAATATTCGTTTCTTCATCACTGTAGATAAGCAGGGAAAGAAAAATTATTATACTATACTAGCCTTTTATGTGACCATGAGGATTTGGGGTAGGTAGGTGGACAGCTTAGATAATTCACCAGGATATTGATACAGGCTCCATGGCTGGAAATAACCAAGGATGAGTGCTGTGTTTTGAGTGGTCTCCCCCAGAAACGTTTGTTGAAATCCTAACCCCTGGTATGTATGAATGTGAATTCATATTATATAAAAAGGAATAAATAGCCTGAGCACAGTGGCTCACACCTGTAATCCCAGCACTTTGGGAGGCCAAAGCAGGTGGATCATTTGAGGTCAGGAGTTCTGGCCAATATGGCAAAACTTCATCTCTACAAAAAAAAAATACAAAAAAAAAAATTGGCTGGGTATGGTGGCGCATGCCTGTAGTCCCAGCTACTCAGGAGGCTGAGGCAGGAATTGCTGAAACCTGGAAGGCAGAGGTTGCAGTGAGCCAAGATCATGCCACTGCACTCCAGCCTGGGTGAGACGGCAAGATATTCTGTCAAAAATAAATAAATAAAAAACAGAAGAAGAAATACAAGAATGACAGCAAACTTTGTATTCAAAACTATGAAAGTAAGAAATAGGTGGACCAACATTTTTAAAGTGCTACAAGAAAATATTTCAAACTAGAATCTTTCAACCTGAAAAGGAAAACATTTTCCTGCAATAAAGGTGCCATTAAAAATGTCTCACAATTTATTACATGAAGCATTGTTCTACAATAAATGTTAAGCTCTTGAAGCAAAGATTAATGATACCATTTAGTAACTTGAAATTCAAAAAAGTGGAAGTATCCCAAGAGGCAAATACGTGTGCAATTATTAAATGTTTCATATCAACACCCAACCTTATGCTGTCTACATAAGCTGCACTTCAAATACTAATCCACAAGATGTAAATATTGAAAGAATGACATTACATTGTCATGATAATGCCCAGTGCAAAATATGCTTCTAGTCAGTTGTATACATAGAATAGGTAAATGTTTGTAATAAAAAGTATTCCTCAATAGAAGTTTCTTAACTCAAAGAATGAAATATTTCACCATGCACATACAAAGAAGAGATATATGGAGATATGAAGAGGAGTACTTCATAATGACAAAGAGGCAAATTCATAAATAAGACATAATAATCCTAAATGCCTACACACCTAAAGCTGGAACCTCAAAACACATTAAATTAAAGGCATAATTCAAAACATAATCAATCACATCCAAATTGCAGCTAGAGATAGCAACATTCACCTCACTTCCAGAACAAGTACACAGAAAATTATTAAGCATATGAAAGACTTGAAAAACATTTGTGTAGGCGGCGGGTGCATAAGGTTGGGTGTTGATATGAAACATTTAATAATTTCAATAATCCTAGCACTTTGGGAGGCCAAAATGGGAGGATCACTTGAGGCCAGGAGTTTGAGACCAGCCTGGGCACCATAGTGAGACCCCGTCTCTATTTTTTTTAAATAAAGAAAAACATTTGAATGATTTTTTTCTTAACTGACATTTAGAAAACATCCACCTCAAATCTTCCTAATCCACAAACTTGTCTAGCACCCCTGGAACATTCACCAAAATAAATTTTTAAATGCTGAATCATAGGTAATATGATAGATGAAACAGTTGAATTAAATTATAAATGTACAACAAGGAAATGCTGGGGAAATTATCAAATATTTTAAAATTAATAAACACACATAGCAATAAACAATGAGTGGAAGAAAAACATTTCAAAGAAAGGTGGAAAATATTTTGTATCAATTAAAAATGAAAACACATCTCGGCAAATGACTGGGGATACAGATAGAACAGTGTTAAAGGAAAATAAGCCTCAAATGTCTGTGTTAGAAAAGAAGGAAGAGCTGAGTAAATAGGTAACTTTCGCTTGCAGAAATACTACACATCAGCAAATTAATTCCAAAGTAACGTCGAGGAAAAACATAAAATGGCAAGCAAATATATACGTGCATATGTACGTATATTCATAAATGACAAACAGGACAGAAAAATCAGTGACATCAATTTTGTTCCTTAGAAGAAACAGGAAAATTGACCCCAAAAAACTTTCCAGGCCACATTTGGTCATGATGGAAATATTTTGGCACTTCCTGGTTAAGCTCAACACCAACTTGCACCCAAAACCAATAATTTCATTCCTAGGTAAATATGTCTAATTAATTCAGCATATGTATGCAAGGGATCACACAGAAACACGATTATCAAGGCCCGAGTTATAAAAGAGAAAATCCGGAAACAACACAAATGTCCATGATAAAAAGAGTGGATAATTACATGTTGATAAAGTTATGTATGGACTATTAAACTGCAATCCAAAAGAATAAAATAGAACTATAAAATTCAATATGTATATGGTGTCATAGAAACACAAATGTGAGAAAAAGAAAGAAAAATACAAAATTTATATTTTTTAAAATTTGAAACAACTATATATGTGAGTGCTTAGGGTGTGTGTGTGTGTGTGTGTGTATAACCATATGTATATAAACGCACACATACGCACACATATAGAATGTCCCGGCCAGGCATGGTGGCTCACACCTGTAATCTCAGCACTTTGGGAGGCTGAAGTAGACAGATCACTTGAGGTTAGGAGTTCAAGACCAGCCTGGCCAACATGGAGAAACCTCCTCTCTACTAAAAGTACAAAAATTAGGTGGGCGTGATGGTGGGTGCCTGTAAATCCAGCTACTTAGGAGGCTGAGGCACGAGAATTGCGTGAACCTGGGAGGTGGAGGCTGCAATGAGCCGAGGTCTCACCACTGCATTCCAAACTGGGTGACGAAGTGAGATTGCGTCTCAAAAAAAAAAAAAGTTCTAAAAGTTGTGACTTGGGTGTGGCAGATTGTGACATACTGCCAGCTGCTAGAAATGCTGGGGCAGGAGGATTGCTTGAACTCTGAAGTCAAAGAACAGCCTGGGGAAAATAGCACATGAAGAAGAGTTTGAATCTCAGATAAAAACAACAAAAATACATCAAAAGTCTTTAATGTAAGCCAAGCATTCAGTCATCTCCTGTATGAGAGATTGGATCTGAGACGTGTTTTGAGTTGGTTATAGTGAAGGATGCAAGGTGTCAATTCTAGTTGGAACAATTTCCAGGAAGCCATGTTCCGCTCTTGACCAAACAGCCACTGGGCCTCATGCAAGGTAGAAATAGCCTGCATACGTCATCCTCCCATGATGTGGTCAGCATGTAAACTGCATGAGCCCCTCACAACATCCTGTGTGCTGCTGAACTGAGCTGGGGCGCAGCCGCCTGTCTGCACCGGCAGCACCATGTCGCTCATGGTCGTCAGCATGGCGTGTGTTGGTGAGTCCTGGAAGGGAATCGAGGGAGGGAGCGCTGGGGTGGAGATCTGGGCCTGGAGTGGAGATCTGGGCCTGGAGTGGAGATATGGGCCTGGAGTGGAGATATAGGCCTGGAGTGGAGATATGGGCCTGGGGTGGAGATATGGGCCTGGAGTGGAGATATGGGCCTGGAACTGTAGATATGGGCCTGAAGTAGAGATATGGGCCTGGAGTAGAGATATGGGCCTGGAACTGTAGATATGGGCCTGGAGTGGAGATATTGGCTTGGAGTGCAGATATGGACCTGGAATTGAGATACGGGCCTGGAGGTGGAGATATGGGCCTAGAGTGGAGATATGGGCCTGGAGGTGGAGATATGGGCCTGGAACTGTAGATATGGGCCTGGAGTAGAGATACGGGCCTGGAGTGGAGATGTTGGCTTGGAGTGCAGATATGGGCCTGGAATGGAGACACGGGCCTGGAGGTGGAGATACAGGCCTGGAGGTGGAGATATGGGCCTGGAGTGTAGATATGGGCCTGGAGTAGAGATATAGGACGGAGGTGGAGATATAGGCCTGGAGTGGAGATATGGGCCTGGAGTAGAGATATAGGACGGAGGTGGAGATATAGGCCTGGAGTGGAGATATGGGCCTAGAGGTGGAGATATGGGCCTGGAGTGGAGATATGGGCCTGGAGGTGATGTACAGATGGATCATCCATCATGATCTTTCTTTCCAGGGTTCTTCTTGCTGGAGGGGCCCTGGCCACATGTGGGTGAGTCCTTCCCCCAAACCTTAGGTTGTCATCTCCCCACATAAGATGATGCTCCTGAAACGGGAGGCAGGCGACACAGGGGGTTGACTGATGGGCTGACCATGGGAAGCCATGTGGGAATCTCTCATGAACTAGGAAAAGGAAGCCAGGGGAAGCTTCGCCACAGTTCTGTCCTAGCCCTCCCCGGCCTTTCTTTCCCTTGGCTGAGTCTGTGGGGACCCAGGGGGAGACTGAAGTGCTCAAAGGAGTGGTGTGCAGGGAGGAAGTGGTGTCACCGGCAGAGGAAGGGAGAGAAGCAGTGCAAGGAACAACAGGCCTCTGAGGACAAGAGCATAACTCACACCCTCCAGCGTTTCCATGACGGTAGGGGCTGCAATGTGGCTGCTGTCATTCTACCTAAGAGGTGGGGGAACCACAGTCATGACCCTGACATTCCAGATCTTCTAATAGGGGCTCAGTTGTTTATTATGGTTCATGCATTAGCTGATCATGCCCTCCATCCTGTGTCTACCTTGTGTTCTTTTATGTAAGTAATTTTGCAGTGTTAAAATCTAGTAAGAGTCGCTTCTTCAGCACCTGCTCAAAGTTCTCAGCTGACACTTGCTGTAGGGAGACGCCATGTCTATGCGGGATGGGTCCTTCCTGTAGCCCTGGGCACCCAGGTGTGGTAGGAGCCTTAGAAACGTGGAAATGGGAGAATCTTCTGAGCACAGGGAGGGAGGGGCGGCTCCACATCCTCCTCTCTAAGGTAGTGCCTCCTTCTCCCCCAGGTGGTCAGGACAAGCCCTTCCTCTCTGCCTGGCCCGGCACTGTGGTGTCTGAAGGACAACATGTGACTCTTCAGTGTCGCTCTCGTCTTGGGTTTAACGAATTCAGTCTGTCCAAAGAAGACGGGATGCCTGTCCCTGAGCTCTACAACAGAATATTCCGGAACAGCTTTCTCATGGGCCCTGTGACCCCAGCACATGCAGGGACCTACAGATGTTGCAGTTCACACCCACACTCCCCCACTGGGTGGTCGGCACCCAGCAACCCTGTGGTGATCATGGTCACAGGTCAGAGGCTTTCTGTCTGGGCTTCTCACTGTCCCACCTCCTGAATCCCAGAGCTTCTGGTGGGGGCGTCCATCAGGGTCCAATCATCCAGGCCCCGACTGTATTTGGGGTAAAGGGGGATTCAGTACAGAGAAATAGTTGCTGTGGTGGGAAGAATAATTGTCCCCAGTGATGGCTACATGGTAATCCATGAACCCTGTGACTATTTATGTTATAGGGCAGGGGACTGAAGAGGAAGATGGAGCTCAGGTTGTTGATGAGTTGACCTTGCGATGGGGAGACAGCCTGGACTGTCCTGCTGTGCTCAGAGTAATCACAAGGGTCCTCATGAGAGGAGGAGGAAGAGGAAAGTGGGGTTAGAGCAACGTCGTGGGAGGGAGACTCCATCAGCCACAGCGGGCTTTGAAGATGGGGGAAGGCCATGAGCCACAAAGGCAGGTGGCCTCTAAGGGCTGGAGAAGTCAAGGGAACTGATTCTTCCCTGAGTCTCCAGAGGAAACACAGCCCTGCAGATGCCTTGATTTTAGCCCAGAGAGAACTGGGTCCGATTTCTGTTCTCCAGAAGTGGAAGGGGTCATTGTATTCTCTCCTGCCCCATGTTTGTGACAATTTTCTCCAGCAGCAACAGGAAACCAACACAGGAACCCAGGTGAAGCACAGGTTAAGAAACCAAACAAGGAGAAGGTTGGCTACACTGATTTTAGCATGGGTGGGATACTGATGCTACCACCAGGCTCGATCCACATAGGGAGGGGTTGATGCTCCTGGAACCAGCACCAGGGGCCACCCTATGGAAGCTGGGGCCATGGAGAAGGCACAGACATGAAAGGAGAGGCTCCCAATCCCCATCAGGAACAGGGACACTGATGCCTGCCTTACTGATGAGTTCGTACCTCCTGCCGGCCTTTCCAATCTGTCCAAAAGAGATTGATTCAGGCTGCTAAGAGCCTGGACATGCAGCCTGTCATGGTTCCTCTTCCACCCCCACATAAACACCAGGAAAGAGATTAGTGGGAAACAGATACAACAGCCTCAGAGGTGACACTGAGCACAGTGGGAAGGGAATCAGGGCTACTAGAGACAGAGAGACAGGGAAGAGGGAGGGAGACAGATGGAGGGACCTGCAACAGGGGTTATGGGCACAAAAGAACACGGAGACACAGACAGGAAGGAGAGAGATAGACACCATGGAGGGGAAGCCTCACTTATTTCAGGTCCCATGAATGGGATGAGAAAGGGAGACGCCTTCTGAACTCACAACCTCTCTTCTTAGGAGTCCACAGAAAACCTTCCCTCCTGGCCCACCCAGGTCCCCTGGTGAAATCGGGAGAGACGGTCATCCTGCAATGTTGGTCAGATGTCAGGTTTGAGCGCTTCCTTCTGCACAGAGAGGGGATCACTGAGGACCCCTTGCGCCTCGTTGGACAGCTCCACGATGCGGGTTCCCAGGTCAACTATTCCATGGGTCCCATGACACCTGCCCTTGCAGGGACCTACAGATGCTTTGGTTCTGTCACTCACTTACCCTATGAGTTGTCGGCTCCCAGTGACCCTCTGGACATCGTGGTCGTAGGTGAGAGAATACAGACCTGCCTCTCACCCTTGCTGGGAGATGGAGTGAATGATCTAGGACTGGAAGCCCCAGGTGGTCATGAGGAAGATGAGTGTGGGGTTCCTATGGAGAGAAAGTGACTTGGTGAGGTCTGTACCAACAAAGGCAGAGAAACAGGAGACACAAGTACAGACCTCATGTCATAACATAGAAGCCAGACACAGGGGCCATACAAGGTGTTAGAAAAAGAGATAAAGAGGTAAAGAAGACACAGAGAGACAGACATATCCCAGAGAGAGGTGTCCTTCTATGCTGACTTTGTTCAGAGACCAGGCACAGGTTAGAAGGTTCCATTCTGTTTTACCTCTACAAAGTGTTCTCTCCCAGGAGAACCCAAAGAGACACATCTATCTGGCCTGAGTTGGGCCATGTGGCCCCAGGCTGGTGGCACCTACAGATGTTGTGTTTATTCTTAAACCTCTGCCTTCCGTGCAGTGGAGCTGTCATCGTCCCAGGACACCATGGCCCCAGGTGAGGGAGCAGAACACCAACCCCTGTATGCTGTGAGTTCCTGGAGTCCCCATACTGGATTCTGAGGCTCATATTCAAATAGCACCACATGTTATAGGATTACTGAGAACAAAAGCCCACAGAGAGACACGGAGTGAAATCAGGGAAATCAAAAAGCAAAGACATGAACACACACACAGAATGAGCCAGAAGAAGGGAATTGAGAGACTCACAGACACATAAAGAGATAGAAAAAGAGGGCAGAGAAGTGGAGCGTATGATGGAAGGAAGCAGAGAAAAGCCCTAAAATCAGAGCCCTGAGGGAGGGGCACAAAGACAGGGAAAGATAAAGATGTGAGGATGGATTGCAGAGACTCCAAAAGGGAACTAGAGAGACTGAGAGGCAGAGAAAGACAAGGAGATGGAGAGAGACAGATGATAGATGGACAGATAGATATAGATAGATGAAAGATAAAAGGTAGATGATAGATAATAGAGAGACAGGTGATAGACAAATAGATGATGAATGACTGATAGATGATATAGATAGACAAGTAGAAAGACAGACAGATGATATATAAATAGATATAGAGAGATAGAAAGACAGATAAACACATGATGATAGATGGATAGATGCATACATACATACATTGATTGATAGATGATAGATAACAGAGAGATAGGTCATAGATACACAGATGATGATAGATGATAGATACATACATAGATAAATGATAGATCGATCAATAGATAATAGATAGAAATATGCAGAAAGTTATGAGCAAGACAGAAAGTGAGAGACTCAGAATTAAAGAAAGAGGAAGATCAAGTCAACCAGTCCAAGGAGGGTCAGAGAGAATAAAATGGTACAAAAAAAGAAAACATAGCTAGGGATGGAGAAGTGAGGTCAGAGACCTAGAGAGACAGAGAAGGTGGAAGGAGGAAATAGACATGAAGAGAGATGGGGGTGGAGGGTGAGAGAGAGAAAGAGAGCATTAAGTCATAGAGCAGGGGAGTGAGTTCTCAGCTCAGGTGTGAGGAGAGCTGTGACAAGGAAGAACCTCCCTGAGGAAACCACCTCTTCTTCTTCCAGGTCTATATGGGAAACCTTCTCTCTCAGCCCAGCCGGGCCCCACGGTTCAGGCAGGAGAGAATGTGACCTTGTCCTGCAGCTCCCGGAGCTTGTTTGACATTTACCATCTATCCAGGGAGGCGGAGGCCGGTGAACTTAGGCTCACTGCAGTGCTGAGGGTCAATGGAACATTCCAGGCCAACTTCCCTCTGGGCCCTGTGACCCACGGAGGGAACTACAGATGCTTCGGCTCTTTCCGTGCCCTGCCCCATGCGTGGTCAGACCCGAGTGACCCACTGCCCGTTTCTGTCACAGGTGAGAAAACACCATGCCTGTCCCATGTCTTGTGATCCTAGAGCCATAGCTGAGGAGCTTCCTGCTGATGATGGAGAGAAGCATGGACAGATGCCGAGACAGAACACACAGCATGGGTGTAAGGGCGGGGTCAGGGCGCAGGATGGCAGACAGGGCACCTCCAAACCCTCCTGTATGGCCTGCAAGGATGCCCTTGATCAGGGTTCCAGGCACCCAGGCAGATGGAGAAAGAGGTCAGAACAGACCCAGAGGAGGGAGACTGGGCTCTGCCTGGGGAGATCAGAGGTTCTCTCAGCCCCTCAACCTTACCCACTTCCCAGAAGCCCATCCTGGCCTGTCACCCACAGAGAGATGTCATCACCAGCAACGCCTACACCCTTTTCTTTTTGTTTGAAGAAATATTTATTGAGGTGAAATATACCTATGTAATTTACCACCTTTACCATTTTTAAGTGTGAAGTCTACTGTTCATAAATACATTTATAGGCTGGGCACGGTGGCTCACGGTTGTAATCCCAACACTTTGAGAGGCCAAGGCAGGTGGATCATTTGAGATCAGGGGCTCAAGACCACCCTGGCCAACATGGGGAAAATCCATCTGTACTAAAAATACAAAATAATAATTATAATGATAATAATTAGCCGAGCATGGTGGCACATGCCTGTAGTCCCAGCTACTTGGTAGGGTTGGGCAGGAGTTGCACTTAATTGCAGGAGGCGGAGGTTGCAGTGAGCTGAGATCATGCCACTGCACTGCAGCCTGGGCAACAGAGAGAGACACTCTCTCAAAATTAATTAATTAATTAATTAGTATTCTTTTTTTTTTACCCTCCACCCTTCCCTTCCTGGCCTCTGGTAGCCACCATTCTACTCTCTACCTTTGTGAGATCCACCTTTTAGCTCCTGCATATGAGTGAGAAATGGAAATACTTGTAATGACCTCCAGTTCCATTCATGTGGCTGTAAATGACAGGATGTTACTCTTTCTATGGATGAGTTGTCCCTATTGTGTGTGTGTACCACATTCTCTCCATCCATTCACCCACTGATGGGCAGGTAGGTTGATCCACATCTTGGCTACTGTGAACACTGCTGGAACAGTCATGGGAGTGCAGATGTCACTTCGATACGCTGATGTCCTTTCCTTTGGGTTTACACCCAGTCATGGAATTGCTAGATCCTCTGGAAGTGTCTTTTTACATTTTGTTTTATGGTTTTTGTTTTTGTTTTTGTTTTTTTTAGACTGTTTCACTCTTGTTGCCCAGGCTGGAGTGCAGTGGCGCCATCTGGGCTCACTGCAACCTCCACCTCCAGGATTCAAGAGATTCCCCAGCCTCAGCCTCCCAAGTAGCTGGGTTACTGGCTCCCACCACCACACTCGGCTAATTTTTATATTTTTAGTAGAGACAGAGTTTCGCTATATTGGCCAGGCTGCTCTTCAACTCCTGACCTCAAGTGACCTACCCACCTCGGCCTCCCAATGTGCTGGGATTACAGGCATGAACCACTGTGCCCGACCTCATTTTATTTTTTGAGGAACTTCCATACTCTTCTCCTCTGTAATGGCTGTACTAATTTACATTCGTATCAGCAGTGTACCAGATGCAACCCTGGTTGACTCAGCAGAGCAAGAGACGTGCAGTAAGAGAGAATTTAGCTTATTTATGCACACGACACTTCCACTCACTCACTCGTTCAGCCAATGCCCCATGCTCAGGCTGTGCAGTGTGGAATCTTTTCCTATTGTTGCCATAACAAATTTCCACAAGCTTCGTGGATGAAAACATGTTTTTCTTAATTATCTCACAGTGCTGTAACTCAGAAGTATGAACTGCATTTCACTGGGCTGATATCAAAGGGACAGTAAGGCTGGATTTCTTTTTAAGGTTCCAAGCAAGAATCTGCTCCTTAACGTTTCCCAGCTCCTAGAGGCTCCCACGTTCCTGGGCCCCTGGTCCCCTTCCTCCTTCCTCCTTCCTCAAAGCCCACAAAGGCTGGTCACGTCTCACATGGCATCATTCAGACTCTTCTTCTTTACCCACACCTTTTTCTCTGAATCCTGCTCTGCCTTCTTCCTCATCTTTTAAGGACTTTGGGATTCTATTGGGGTCACCAAGATAATCCATCTCAATCTCCCTAAAATCATCCAGCGTACCCTCTTTTTAAGTTCAGCTGATTAGCAACCGTAATGCCATCTGCAATCTTCATTCCTCCTTTCCTGTAAAATAACATATTCACAAGCTATGGAGGCTAAGACAGGGACATTTTGGGGGTGGGGCAGCATTCTCCTGCCTTCCACAAATGGTAAACAGGATGCATTTGGCCTCTGCTCTTGGGACGCTGATATTGCAGATGGGTAAATGCGAGGGCAGAGAATGAATGCACAAGGGTACCAATAAATGAATGATCCATTGGGAAGCATCTGTGCACCAAATCTGGGGTTTTTTGTGTGTGTGTGTGTTTTTTTTCTTTTTTTTTTTGAGTAGAGTCTCTCTCTGTTCCACAGGCTGGAGTGCAGTAGCACAATCTCAGCTCATTGCAACCTCTGCCTCCTGGGTTCATGCAATTCTCCTGCCTCAGCCTACCGAGTAGCTGGGATTACAGCTGTGCGCCACCACACTCGGCTAATTTTTTTGGTATATTTTTTTAGTAGAAATGAGGTTTCACCATGTTGTGCAGGCTGTCTCAAACTCCCAATCTCAAGTGATCCCACCGCCTTAGCGTCCCTAAGTGCAAAGATTACAGGCGAGAGCTACTGCGCCCAGCCAGGATTTAAAATAAGTAATAGATAATGCTGAGTATATAATTTCAGGTGACAGAGAAGGTCTCACTGATCAGATAATATTTGTGACCTTAATGGAAAAAATGGATTCAACCCTTGGAAGATTGGCGGAAGGATTTTCCACACTGAGCTCTCAGCCGTGAAGGCACAAAGGTGGAAACATTCTTAGTTCAAGGAAGAGGCTCTGCCTCAAATGCTGGGAATGAAGTGGGGAGAATGACAAGACAACTGTAGAGAGATGGAGAGCACACTGGGTACACAGGAAACTAAGGAGGAACAAGGAGCGTGTGTTTGATACTCACAGCCATTGGATTCAACTCAGAGCTAACTAGGAATCCCTACCTGATTAATAGTGACCGACATGAAAATAAGGGAGGCCCAGGTGCGTAACTGGAATCTAGGAGACGGTGGAAAAGGCAATTCCCGCCCCACTGGTGAAACGTAGGGTTGATTTACACACTAAATGAATGAAAGATGGATATAAGCTATGCTTGTGAGGTAGAATCATTTGCAGGGAGGGCTTGCTGGGTTTGATTTTTCCTAGTAGTTTAATCCTTGTTTCATTAATTTCTTTCTGAGATGTGTTTTTTTTCTACATCTAAATCCATACCTGGCAGAGGAGCGATAGACACATGAGGGGTGGTGCAAATGAAGGGACCTAGTATAATATAATATACAAGACTGTGGATGGGGGCTCACACCTGTAACCCAACACTTTGGGAGGCCAAGGCGGGTAGATCACTTAAGGGTAGGAGTTTGAGACCAGCCTGGCCAACATGGTGAAACCCCGTCTGTACTAAAAATACAAAAATTAGCCTGGTGCATTGGCACCTGCCTGTAATCCCAGCGACTGGGGAGGCTGAAGCAGAAGAATGGCTTCAACCCTGGAGGCAGAGGTTGAACTGAGATCGCATCACTGCACTCCAGCCTGACACAGGGGGACTCTGTCTCAAAAAATAAAAATAAAACATACATAATTATGACACACAGAAATTACAAAGGCAACTGGATACCAACCATCATTTTTCTATTTCTCTGTGTTTAATTCTTTGACCCTTTATCTTATCCATTAAACAATCAGGTTAAACCTCTTCCTTATTTGGCTTTCTGTGAGCTTGGGATCATATGGAAAATGTGAAAGCCTCCTGAACCCACCAGCACAGGTCCTGGAATAGAGAACGTGCTCTGTTCATGGCATAAAACTTGCCCCTTCACCCAAATCCCCCAATTCATCTCTACTTCCAATCACCTATGGAGATACAGATAGATCATGGGGAGGTAAACACTAATACTCTTTGGAGTGAGCTCAGATCTTGGACTCAGAGACCAGTGCCAGCACTAGCCCCTGGTCACATTTCGTACTAACTCACAGAAGGACAGGCTGTATTGAAACAATAAACGACGGAGAGGGCGGTCCTTCCCCGTGCTTCTCGGGTGGAATAGCAGCCTAATATATGTCTCAGCAGATCACAAAAAGTAGCATGTTGTTCCTGGGCTACATCATTATTTCATGGCTGTTTGATTTAAGTCAGTTCTACTTCACTTTTTTTATCTTGATTTCATTTTTTCTTTCTTTTCTTGGAGAATGTAATTTTTTTGAGTCAAGAGGGTTGTGGTGGTAGAAACTGTAAAGCACATTCGCTGTGTATCAATCCCAATCCAGTCTTCCCAGAGAAGATTCTAAACACCTCCTGGAATGCACCTGGGCCTATACCAATTCCTATCACTCACCGTCACTCCAGGGAGACAGAACACACAGAGAACACATTACACAGGCAGGTTCATTACTAACAGATAAGCAGCGAGTGACAACAGAAACCTACATTTCAATGTGAGCCAGTCCCTCAAGGCTCAGAAAAGCTGCTCGAGACATGTGGAGTCACCCCATATGCAGTGTATCTGGGGGAAATCAAAAAGCAGCCCAGCCTGGGTTTTGTACCCTGGAGCCACAGGAAGCACTCAGCTAAAGCACTGCATGACGTCCTCCTCCAGGAAGAACAGGAAGACAGCCCAGGCTGTTCTGGGATGTTCCTCCTGATCTCAGGACGTTGCTGTCTTAGTCCATTTTTGTTGCTCTAAAGGAACACTTGAGCCTGGGTAACTTCTAAAGACAAGAAATGTGTTTGCCTCACAGTTCTGCAGGCTGTACTGGAAGCATGGCACCAGCATCTATTTCTTGTGACGGCCTCAGGCTGCTCCCACTCTGGCAGAAGGGAAGGAGGGTCTGTCTGTGCAGAGACCACAGAGATCACACGGCAAGAGAGGGACCAAGGGGGAGGGGGAGCGATGGAGCTTCCAAGCTCTTTTAACAACCAGTTCTCCAGGAACTAATAGAGGGGGAACTTGCTAACCCCGTCTCCTTGGAACAGCATTGATCTGTTCATGATGGATCCACCTCCATGACCCAAACAACTCCCAAGAGGCCCAACCTCCCACTCTGGGGGTTACATTTCAATGTGAGGTTTGAAGGGGTCAAACATCTAAACTAAAGCAGTTGTATCCTCAGCACGTTCTATGGTTACTACAACTGAGAAAGCAGGAGGAAGCTAGGTCTCCCGCCATCTGGGTGCTTGTCCTAAAGAGACGTTGTATGTGGTTACCTGTCAATCAAGAAATGTGAGACAATTCATATAGAGGAACTGCTATGATTAGCTTCTTATTGGTGTCTTGTCTTCCTCCAGGTAACTCCAGAAACCTGCACGTTCTGATTGGGACCTCAGTGGTCATCATCCCCTTTGCTATCCTCCTCTTCTTTCTCCTTCATCGCTGGTGTGCCAACAAAAAGAGTAAGTCTCACGAAGCAGAAGCCAGAGAGCTCAGGGCCATGTGGGGAAGCAGGATGGGAGCACTCAGGTGTGAGTTCCTCACAGACTGGATGGTCCCTGGCCCAAGGCAGGAGCCACAGAGGCAGGACTTTCTAGAGAGAGCACCAGACTCCCTGCCTCTGCCTTCAGCTCACAGACCATTGCCTGATTCTGAACCGTATCCTCACATCCCCTGCAGCCACTCACATCCAGGAGAAGGTTCCATGACAGGCAGAAAGTGGGACACAGAATCAATAGGATGGGAACTCAGAGCTATACATGGGATGGATCCTTGAGCTCAGAGAGATAGAATGTCTGAGTCTGCTGTTGGCAACTGAGGGACCTCAGGCACCTATGGCCTCCCCCTGTATGTTGGTATCTGCTTATGAAATGAGGACCCAGAAGTGCCCTCCGAGCTGTTTTGACGACTTCCGTCTTCTACAGATGCTGTTGTAATGGACCAGGAGCCTGCAGGGAACAGAACAGTGAACAGGGAGGTAGGTGCTCCTCCGCCCAGCCTCGTGGCTAGTCTTATTCCCAAAGAGTCCTGGAAAATGTGAGCACCCTCCCTCACTCAGCATTTCCCTCCCTCCAGGACTCTGATGAACAAGACCCTCAGGAGGTGACATACGCACAGTTGAATCACTGCGTTTTCACACAGAGAAAAATCACTCGCCCTTCTCAGAGGCCCAAGACACCCCCAACAGATACCAGCGTGTAACACGGAACTTCCAAATGCTGAGCGCAGATCCAAAGTTGTCTTCTGTCCACTAGCACCACAGTCAGGCCTTGATGGGATCTTCTAGGGAGACAATAGCCCTGTCTCAAAACCGGGTTGCCAGCTCCCATGTACCAGCAGCTGGACTCTGAAGGCGTGAGTCTGCATCTTAGGGCATCGCTCTTCCTCACACCACGAATCTGAACATGCCTCTCTCTTGCTTACAAATGTCTAAGGTCCCCACTGCCTGCTGGAGAGAAAACACACTTGCTTAGCCCACAATTCTCCATTTCACTTGACCCCTGCCCACCTCTCCAACCTAACTGGCTTACTTCCTAGTCTACTTGAGGCTGCGATCACACTGAGGAACTCACAATTCCAAACATATAAGAGGCTCCCTCTTAACACGGCACTTAGATACGTGCTATTCCACCTTTCCTCAGAGTATCTTTCAGCCTTCTGTCAGCAGTAAAACTTATAAATTTTTTTTATAATTTCAATGTAGTTTTCTATTCTTCAAGTAAACATGTCTGCCCTCATGGTTTCTTCAATGGGACTCTTTTCTTGCCTAAGGCTTCCGGTGTTATCATTACCACGTCCACATAACCCCATCTGTTCTCCGCTGGGTTCTCAGCCCTGGACTCTGAGCTTCTGGAAGCATGGTGGAGCCTGAATTGTCTCTGAGACTCCAATTTCCATCCAAAGATGCAGCACATAGGAGGTTCCAAGGATGGTGAATCAGATGAACAAGTGATATTCTTACTCTCTGCAGATCTGGAAAGCTGGCAGAGTCATTCCACGATGAAACATTTGTAGAGTCATAGGCCTTGTTAGTCTCATCTCCACAGGGACACGTATCAACACATCATCTTTCATACTACTATAAATAGACAGTCACTCCTCCATATCTCTGGGGTTTACACATGTTTATTGAATCAGCAATAAATCAAAAATATTTTGAGAAAAAAAATCCCCGAAGTTTCAAAAAGCAAAAAACTATGTTGAATCGACACAAATTGAGTGGCGTGTAGGCTGTGTCAGGAATTATAAGTAATCAAGAGATGATTTCATGTATACAGGAGGATGTGCATGGGTTCTATGCAATTGCTATGCTATTTTTTTTTTTTTTTTGAGACAGTCTCACTCTCTCACCCAGGCTGGAGTGCAGTGGCGTGATCTCAACTCACTGCAACCTCCGCCTTCCAGGTTCAAGCGATTCTCTTCCCTCAGCCTCCCCAGTAGCCTCCCCTAGGATTACAGGCACGTGCCACCCTGCACAGATAAATTTTTTTGTGTGTATATTTTTAGTAGAGATGGGGTTTCAGAATGTTGGACCAGCTGGTCTTGAACTCCTGACCTTGTGATCTACCCAGCTCAGCCTCCCAAAGTGCTGGGATTACAGGCGTGAGCCACGGTGCCCAGCTTCACTATGCCATTTCATGCAAGGGGCTTGAGCATCTGCAGATTTTGGTATCTGAATGGGGATCCTGGAACCAATCACCCAGGTATAGTGAAGGACCATGGTATATAATTTTTATTTGTCAATCTTAAAAATAAAGCATAAAAAATTTACAACAACAAGATAAAAAATAAGAAGTGTTTTTATAGTGTGAGGATAAGTTTAGATTTATTTTTTCCTACGTGTAACCCTATGGTCCTGTGTTATTTGTTGAGAAAATATTCTATTCCACCTTAAACTACATGGCAGCCTTTGTCAACTATAAAGGGACTGTGTATCCACAGATGTATTTTAGACACAGTTTTCTGTCCAGTGGTTCTCTGTATCCCCTCTCATGAGGATGCTGCATTTTATATAAACTTATAGAACCCCTTAAAATTTGGTAACCTGAGTCCTCTGATTTGTTATTATAGGTTATTTAGTTTGCTTTTTTTTTTTTTCTTGAGACAGACTCTTCCTCTGTCACCCAAGCTGGAGTTCAGTGGCTTGAGCTCAGCTCACTGCAACCTCCGTCTCCCAGGTTCAAGCTATTCTGATGCCTCTGGTTTAGTAGTAGAAACTCAAGCAGGAAAATTAGAATGGCTTCTTGTCACAATTACTCTGATAATGTTAATAATACCTGTTAGACATTTTGCACATTACATATGAAGAAGAGTTTGAATCTCAGATAAAAACAAAAATACATCAAAAATCTTTAATGTAAGCACAGAATTCAATCATCTCGTGTATGAGAGGTTGGATCTGAGACGTCTTTTGAGTCTGGTCGTAGTGAAGGACGCAAGGTGTCAATTCTAGTGAGAACAATTTCCAGGAAGCCATGTTCCGCTCTTGAGCGAGCACCCACTGGGCCTCATGCAAGGTAGAAAGAGCCTGCGTACGTCACCCTCCCATGATGTGGTCAACATGTAAACTGCATGGGCAGGGCGCCAAATAACATCCTGTGCGCTGCTGAGCTGAGCTGGGGCGCGGCCGCCTGTCTGCACAGACAGCACCATGTCGCTCATGGTCGTCAGCATGGTGTGTGTTGGTGAGTCCTGGAAGGGCATCGAGGGAGGGAGTGCGGGGATGGAGATCGGGGCCCAGAGTTGGAGATATAGGCCTGGAAGTGGAGTTATGGGCCTAGAGATGGAGTGATGGGCCTAGAAGTGGAGATCTGGGCCTGGAGTGGAGATCTGGGCCTGGAGTGGAGATATGGGCCTGGAGGTTGAGATATGGGCCTGCAGTAGAGATATGGGCTTGTAGTGGAGACATGGGCCTGGAGATGGAGATATGGGCCTGGAGATGGAGATATGGGCCTGCAGTAGAGATAGGGGCCTGGAGTGGAGATATGGGCCTGGAGTGGAGATATGGGCCTGGAGTGGAGATATGGGCCTGGAGGTGGAGATATGGGCCTGGAGGTGGAGATATGGGCCTGGAGTGGAGATATGGGTCTGGAGGTGGAGATACGGGCCTGCAGTAGAGATATGGGCCTGGAGTGGAGATATGGGCCAGGAGTGGAGTTATGGGCCTAGAGGTGGATATCTGGGCCTGGAGTGGAGATATGGGCCTAGGAAGGAGATATGGGCCTGGGTGTGGAGATATGGGACTGGAGAGGTGATATGGGCCTGGAGTGGAGATATGGGCTTAGGGTGGAGATCTGGGCCTGGGGCGGAGATATGGGACTGGATTGGAGATAGGGGCCTAGGGTGGAGATCTGAGCCTGGATTGGCGATATGGGCCTAGGGTGGAAATATCAGCCTGGAGTGGAGATATGGGCTTGGGGTGGGGATATGGGCCTGGAAACTGGGTCTCTGCACAGCCGACAGCCCTGTTCTTGGGTGCAGGTAGGCACTGAGGGTGAGTTTAACTTCAGCCCAGGAAGGGCCTGGCTGCCAAGACTCACAGCCCAGTGGGGGCAGCAAGGGAGGCCTGGTTTGCCTGCAGATGGATGGTCCATCATGATCTTTCTTTCCAGGGTTCTTCTTGCTGCAGGGGGCCTGGCCACATGAGGGTGAGTCCTTCTCCAAACCTTCGGGTGTCATCTCCCCACATAAGAGGATTTTCCTGAAACAGGAGGGAAGTCCTGTCGGGGAGTCTCTCATAAACTAGGAAGAGAGGACCCTGGGGTGCTCAGCCCACATTTCTGACCTCGCCTCCCTGGCCTCTCAACCCCTTGGCAGAGTCAAGTTCTGTGGGGACCAGGGTTAGACTGGGGTGCTCAAAGCTGGGGTGTGTGGTTGGGAAGTGGTAGGAACAGCAGATCCTCTGAGGACAAAGGTGTTACTCACACACTTCAGCGTTTCCATGATGGTAGGGGCTGCAGTGTGGCTGCTGTCATTCTACCAGAAGAGGTGGGAAACCACAGCCATGGCCCTGACATTCCAAATCCTCTGATGGGGGCTCAGTTGTTTATTTTCGTTCAGGCATCCGCTGATATCCATTCACAAAGGACATGCCCTCCACCTCATGTCTACCCTGTGTTGTTTTATGTGAGTAATCTTACAGTATTAAAATCTAGTAGGAGTCTCTTTACTCAGCACTTGCTCAAAGTTCTCAGCTGAGGCTTTTGTTGTAGGGAGACACCATGTCTTTGCGGGATGGGTCCTTCCTTCAGCCCTGGGCACCAAGGTGTGATAGTAGCCATAGAAACGTGGAAAGCGAGGAGAATCTTCTGAGCACAGGGAGGGAAGGGCAGTTCCACATCCTCCTCTCTAAGGCGGCGCCTCCTTCTCCCCAAGGTGGTCAGGACAAGCCCTTGCTGTCTGCCTGGCCCAGCCTTGTGGTGCCTCTAGGACATGTCATTCTTCGGTGTCACTCTTATCTTGGGTTTAACAACTTCAGTCTGTACAAGGAAGGTGGGGTGCCTGTCCCTGAGCTCTACAACAGAATATTCTGGAACAGCCTTTTCATGGGCCCTGTGACCCCCGCACACACAGGGACATACAGATGTCGGGGTTCACACACACACTCCCCCAGTGGGTGGTCAGCACCCAGCAACCCCCTGGTGATCGTGGTCATAGGTCAGAGGGCTCCTGTCTTGGATTCTCCTTGTCCCACCTCCTGAATCCCAGAGCTTCTGGTGGGCATGTCCTTGAGGGTCCCATCACGCAGGCCCTGACTGTATTTGTGGTAAAGGGGGATTGAATACAGGGAAATGGGTGCTGTGGTGGGAAGAATAATTGTCCCCAGTGATGACTACATTCTAATCCCTGGAGTCTGTGACTATTTATGTTATAGGGGAAGGGACTGAAGGGGAAGATGGAGCTCATGGGGAGACAGCCTGGACTGTCCCACTGGGCTCAGTGTAATCACAAGGGTGCACATGAAAGGAGGAGGAAGAGGGGAGTGGGGATTAGAGCAGTCCAGTGGAAGTCTTCACCAGCTTTGAAGGTGGAGGAAGGCCAAGAGCCATGAATGCAGGTGGCCTATAGAGGCTGGAAAAGTCAAGGAACTGATTCTCCAGAGTCTCCAGAGGGAACAAAGCCCTGCAGATGCCTTGATTTTAGCCCAGGAAAAATAGGGTCCAATTTCTGTCTCCAGTACTGGAAGGTGTCAGTGTGGTCTCTCCTGCTGCCATGCTTCTGATAATTTTCTACAGCAGCAACAGGAAACCAACACTGGAACCCAGGTCAAGGACAAGTTAAGAAACAACCCAAGGAAAGCCAGGCATGGTGGCAGGTGCATGTAATCCTAGCGACTCAGGAGGCTGAGGGCAGGAGAATCACTTGAACCCAGGAGACAGAGGTTGCAGTGAGCCTAGACCACACCACTTCACTCCAGCCTGGGTGAAGGAGTGAGACTCTGTCTCCAAAATTAATTAATTAATTAAAGAAACCAAACAAGGAGAAGGTTGGCTACCCTGAGATCAGCAAGGGTGGGATGATGATGCCACCACCAGGCTCCATCCACATAGGGAGGGGTTGATACTCCTCCAACCAGCACCAGGAGCCAGCCTATGGAAGCTGGCACCATGGAGAAGGCACAGGCATGGCAAGAGTGGCTCCCAGTCCCCACCAGGAACAGGGTGTGTGGACACTGGTGCCTGCCTTATTCATCAGTTCATACCTTCTGCCAAGGATTGCAATTCATCCAAAAGAGATTGAACCAGGCTGATAAGAGCCTGGATGTGCAGCCTATCCTGGTTCCTCTTTCACCCCCACATAAACAGCAGGAAATACATTAGTGTGAAATAGATACAACACCCCAAGAGATGAGGCTAAGCCCAGTGGGAAGGGAATCAGAGGCTACTAGAGACAGAGGGACAGAGAAGAGGGAGGGAGACAGATGGAAGGACCTGCACCAGGAGTTAAGGGCACAGAAAAGAACATGAAGACACAGAGAGGAAGGAGAGAGACAGACACCAGCAAGGGGAAGCCTCACTCATTCTAGGTGCCATGGATGGGATGATAAAGAGAGACACCTTCTAAACTCACAACCTCTCTTCCTAGGAGTCCACAGAAAACCTTCCCTCCTGGCCCACCCAGGTCCCCTGGTGAAATCAGAAGAGACAGTCATCCTGCAATGTTGGTCAGATGTCAGGTTTCAGCACTTCCTTCTGCACAGAGAAGGGAAGTTTAAGGACACTTTGCACCTCATTGGAGAGCACCATGATGGGGTCTCCAAGGCCAACTTCTCCATCGGTCCCATGATGCAAGACCTTGCAGGGACCTACAGATGCTACGGTTCTGTTACTCACTCCCCCTATCAGTTGTCAGCTCCCAGTGACCCTCTGGACATCGTCATCACAGGTGAGAGTGTCCGGACATTCTCATTGTCATTGGGATGCAGAGTGAATGATCCACGACTTGGAACCCCCAGGTAGTTGTAAGGAAGATGAGCTTGGTATTCTTATGGAGAGAGACTGACTTGCTGAGGTTTGTACCAACAGAGACAGAGAAACAGGAGACACAAGTACAGACCAGGTGTCATAACAGAGGACAGACACAGGGGCCATACAGGGAGTTAGAAAAGACAGAAAGAGTTAAAAGAGACAGACAGACAGACATGTCCCAGAGAGAGGTGTCCCTCCATGCTGACTTTGCTCACAGACCTGGCACAGGTTAGAAGTTTCATTTCTGTTTTACCTCCACAAAGTGTTCTCTACCAGGAGAACCCAAGGACACCCATATTTATGACCTGAGTTGGGCCCTGTGGCCTCAGGCCTTGTGGCACCTACAGGCCATGTTTATTCTGACACCTCTGCCTTCCATGTAATGGAGAGTAATCGTCCCAGGATATCATGGCCCCAGAACACCAACCCCTGTATGCTGTGTGAACTTGTGGTCTCCAGACTGGATTCTGTGGCTCACATTCCAAATAACCCCACATATGAAAGGATCACTGAGAGGCACAGAGAAAAATCAGGAACACCAAAAAGCAAAGACATAAACACACAGAGAATGAGCCAGAGGAAGGAGATTGAGAGACTCACAGACACATAAAGAGAGAGAAAAGAGGGCAGAGGAGTGGTGAGAATGATGGCAGGGAGCAGAGAAAAGCACTAAAATTAGAGTCCTGAGAGAGAGGCACAAGGACATAGAAACATGGAGATGTGGGGATGAATTGCAGAGATTCCAAAGAGAGCTAGAGAGACCGAGAGGCAGAGCAAGACAGATGATAGATGGATAGATATAGATAGATGATAAATAGGTAGATGATAGATAATAGGTTAAAGATACATAGATGATGATTGATTGATTCATTAATAGATAATACATAGAGATGATGATGATGAAGACAGATAATACGTACAGATAGAGAGGCAGACAGAAATCATAGAGAGAGAGATGATACATACATATAAATAACAGATGATTGATGGATAGATAGACAAGTGATAGATACATAGATGATATATAGATATAGATGACAGGTAGAGAATCTGTAGATAGACACCGAATAGATAAATAGATAGATCGACAGATAATAGATAGAAATATGCAGAAAGTTATGAACAGGACACAACGTGAGAAACTTAGAATTTAAAAAAGTAACATCAAGTCAACCAATCCAAGGAGAGTCAGAGAGAATAAAAGAATCCAAAAAGGGAAAACATATCTAGAGGTGGGGAAGCGAGGTCAGAGACCTAGAGAGACAGAGAAGGTGGAAGAAGGAAATAGACATGAAGAGAGATGGGGTGGAGGGTGAGAGAGAGAGAGAGAGAGCATTAGGTCATAGAGCAGGGGAGTGAGTTCTCAGCTCAGGTGAAGGGAGCTGTGACAAGGAAGATCCTCCGTAAGGAAAATGCCTCTTCTCCTCCAGGTCTATATGAGAAACCTTCTCTCTCAGCCCAGCCGGGCCCCACGGTTCTGGCAGGAGAGAGCGTGACCTTGTCCTGCAGCTCCCGGAGCTCCTATGACATGTACCATCTATCCAGGGAGGGGGAGGCCCATGAACGTAGGTTCTCTGCAGGGCCCAAGGTCAACGGAACATTCCAGGCCGACTTTCCTCTGGGCCCTGCCACCCACGGAGGAACCTACAGATGCTTCGGCTCTTTCCGTGACTCTCCATACGAGTGGTCAAACTCGAGTGACCCACTGCTTGTTTCTGTCACAGGTGAGGAAACCCCATATCTGTCTCATGTCCTATGATCCTAGAGCCTTAGCTGAGGAGCTTCCTGCTGATGATGGAGAGAAGCATGGACAGATGCAGAGAGAAGACGAAGCTTGGGTGTGAGGGAGGGATCAGGGCACAGGATGGCAGACAGGGCACCTCCAAACCCTCCTACACGGCCTGCATGAAGGCCCGCGGCCAGGGCTCCAGGCACACAGGCAGATGGAGAAAACGGTCAGGAGAGACGCAGAGGAGAGAGACTGGGCTCAGTTTGGGAAGATCAGAGGTTCCCTCAGCCCCTCAACATTACCCATTTCCCAGAAGCCCATCCTGGCCTCTCACCCACACAGGGATGTCATCACCAGCAACCCCTACACCCTTTACTTTTGTTTGAAGAAATATTTATTGAGGATAAATATACCTATATAGCTTACCACCTTTAACATTTTTTTTTTTTTTGAGGCAGAGTCTAGCTCTGTCCCCTATGCTGGAGTGCAGTGGCACAATCTCAGCTCACTGCAACTTCCGCCTCCTGGGTTCAAGTGATTCTCCTGCCTCAGCCACCTGAGTAGCTGGTGCTACAGGCGCGCACCACCACGCCAGGCTACTTTTTGTATTTTTAGTAGAGAGGGGGTTTCACCATGTTGGTCGAGCTGGTCTCCAACTCCTGACCACGTGATCCACCCGCATCTGCCTCCCAAAGTGCTGGGATTACAGGCATGAGCCACCACGCCCAGCCACATTTACCATTTTTAAGTGTAAAGTCTAGTGGTCATAAATACATTTATATATATATATATATATATATATATATATATATATATATATACACACACACACACATATATACATATATATATATATATATATATATATATATATATTTTTTTTTTTTTTTTTTTTTTTTTTTTTNNACCCTCCACCCTTTTATTCCTGGCCTCTGGAAGCCACCATTCTACTCTCTACCTTCATGAGATCCACCTTTTAGCTCTGTATATGGGTGAGAAATGGGAATCTTTGTAATGACTTCCAGTTCCATCCATGTGGCTGCAAATATCAGGATGTTATTCTTTCTATGGATGAGTAGTCTCCACTGTGCGTATGTACTACATTCTCTCTATCCATTCATCCACTGATGGGCAGGTAGGTTGACTCCACATCTTGGCTACTGTGAACAGTGCTGCACCAATCATACGAGTGCAGATATCACTTCGATATATTGATTTACTTTCCTTTGGATATAAACCCAGTAGTGAAATTGCTGGATACTATGAAAGTTCTCTTTTTAGTTATTCGTTTGTTGTTTTGTTTTTGTTTTTGAGACAGTTTCCCTCTGTGCCCAGGCTGGAGTACAAGTGAAGTCATCTTGGCTCATTGCAACCTCCGCCTCCTGGGTTCAAATGATTTTCCTGCCTCAGCCTCCCTAGTAGCTGGGATTACAGGTGCACGCCACCATGCCTGGCTACTTTTTGTTTTTTTTAGTATAGATGCGGTTTCCCCATGTTGGCTGGGCTGCTCTCAAACTCATGACCTCAACTGAGGTGCCCGCCTCGGTCTCCCAAAGTGCCGGGATTACAGGCATGATCCACCTCACCCAACCTCTTTTTAGTTCTTTAAAGGACTTCCACACTTTTCTCCGTAAAGGCTGTACTAATTTACACTCCTACCAACAGGGTATTAGGGTTCTCCTTTCTCTACCACTTTGGCAGGATTTCCTTTGCCTGTCTTGCAGCTAAAAGCCATTTTATTTTATTTCATTTTATTTTGAGATGGAGTTTCGCTCTTGTCACCCAGGCTGGAGTGCAGTGGTGCGATCTCGGCTCACCACAACCTCCACCTCCCAGGTTCAAGCGATTCTCCTGCCTCAGCCTCCCGAGTAGCTGGAATTACAGGCACACGCCACCACGCCCAACTAAATTTTGTATTTTTAGTAGAGACAGTGTTTCTCCATGTGGGTCAGACTGGTCTCAAACTCCCGACCTTATGAGATTCACCCACCTCAGGCTCTCAAAGGTCTAGGATGACAGACGTGAGCCACCACGCCCGGCCTAAAATCCATTTTAATGGGGTGAGATGAAAACTCACTTTGATTTTAATTTGTGTTTCTCTGATGATGAGTGAAACTGAGCACTTTTTAGTATGTGGGGAAATTTCATGTGTTTTGCTCCTTTTTCAATTAAATCATTTGTTTTATTGAGTTGTTTGAGCTTCTTATATTTCTAGTTATTAATCCCATCTCAGATGCATAGTTTGCACATATTTGCTCCCAATCTGTGGGTTGTCTCTTCACTTTGTTGGTTTATTTTTAGCGGTGCAGAAGTTGCTTAGTTTGAGGTAATCCCAATGGTCTATTTTTGCTTCGATTACTTGTGTTTTGAAGGTTTAAAACAAAATGTCTTCCTTCAGACAAATGTCCTGGAGCATTTCCCCAATATTTTCTTCTACGTGTTTCATAGGTTCAGGCCTTAGACTCACATCTTTAATCCATTTTCATTTGAGTTTTGTGTATAGTGACAGGTAGAGGTGCAGTTTCATTCCTCTGCATGTAGATGTCCAGGTTTCCCTGCACTGTTTATTGAAAAGACTGTCCTTTCCTGATTGTGAGTTCTTGGCACCTTTGTCAAAGTCCATTGGATGGGCTGGGCATGGTGGCTGACACCTGCAATTTCAGCACTTTGGGAGCCCAAGGCGGGTGGATCACCTGAGGCCAGGAGTTCAAGATTAGTCTGGCCGACGTGATGAAACATTGTCTCCACTAAAAATATAAAAATTAGCTGAGCATGGTGGTCAGCACCTGTAATACCACTACTCAGGAGTTTGAGGCCAGAGAATTGATTGAACCCAGGAGGCTGTGGTGGCAGTGAACCGAGATTGCACCTCTGCACTCCAGCCTGGGCGACAGAGCGAGACTCCATCTCAAAAGAAAAAAGAAAAAAACATTGGAGGTAAATGCATGGATTATATCTGTGTTCTTCATTCTGCTCCATTGTTCTACGTGCCTTTCTTTATGCCAATGTGATGCTGTTTTGCTTACTACAGCTCTGTAACATATTTTGAGATCAGGTAGTGTGATGCTCCTGTTTTCTCTTTATACCTTGAAGTCTCAAGACAGTGGGCGTCACATACAAAAATTACGGAAAAAAGGATCCCAGGACTCCCAGGGCCCAATATTAGATAACAGAGTGTTGGCCATGAACCAACCTCAAAGATTTCCATTGAGTAGAGGACAGACACCCTCATTTCCTCACCTCTCTCCTGTCTCATGTTCTAGGAAACCCTTCAAATAGTTGGCTTTCACCCACTGAACCAAGCTCCGAAACCGGTGAGTACAGAACCCTCTTATATCCGCTTTTGGAAACCTGGGGAGGTAGAAACCTTCGATGCAGGCATTGACTCAGCATCTCGCAGCTCTGACATTGTACGCCTGTCTTCTACCATCTCCGAACTCCAGATACTCCAACAGCGAAAGGGATCTGGGCCCAACCTAGGGCTCAGTGAAATCTCTTAATCTCTCATTTTATGGAGCTGAGATCTCCTACAAGCTAGAAGAATGATTGCCAATCTGACATCCTTCTCAGGAAAAATGCAATGTTTGTTCTGCCTGCATTCCTAACTGGAGGATAAATTCCTGGGGGCTTGAGAGAGGGAAGGGAAGGGAACATCTGATGAGGGCGAGGTGTTTTAGAGAAGTTCCACTTGCCAAGGAATGAATTACTGTTGGTCATGAAGCAACCCTGGCTGACTCAGCAGAGCAACAGCCTTGCCGTAACAGAGAACGGAGCTCATGCACGCACACTTCGACTCACTGACTCATTCAGCCACGGCCCCATGCTCAGGCTGTGCAGTGCGGAACCTTTTCCTATTGTTGCCATAACAAATTTCCACAAGATTCGTGGGTGAAAACAAAACGGTTTTTTAATTATCTTACAGTGCTGTAGCTCAAAGTAGGAAGTGCATCTTACTGGGCTAAAATCAAGGTGACAGCAAGGCTGCCTTCCCTCTGAGGATTCCAGGCAAGAATCTGCTTCTCACTTATCCCAGCTTCTAAAGGCTCCCAGTTCCTTGGCTCCTGTTCCCCTTCCTCCTTCCTCAAAGCCCACAAAGACTGGTCACATCTCACATGGCATCACTCAGTGCCTTCTTCCTTACCACACCTCTTTCTCTGAATGCTGCTCTCCCTTCTTCCTTATCTTTTGAAAACTTGGGGATTCTATTGGGTTCACCAAGATGAAAATCCCTCATAATCTCCTGGAAATCATCCAGGATACCCTTGTTTTAAGTTCAGCTGATTAGCAACCGCAATTCCATCTACAATCTTCATTCCTCCTTTCCATGTAAAATAACATATTCACAAGCTATGGAGGCTAGGACAGGGACATTTTGGGGTGGGACAGCATTCTCCTGCCTTCCACAAACGGTGAACAAGATGCATTTGGCCTCTGCCCTTGGGACACTGATATTGCAGATGGTTAAATGGGAGGGCAGAAAATGAATGCACAAGTGGATCTATAAATGAATGATCCATTGGGAAGCATCTGTGCATGAAATCTATTTTTTGTTTGTTCTTTTGTTTATTGAGACAGAGTCGCCCTCTGTCTTCCAGGCTACAGTGCAGTGTCACGATCTTGGCTCACTGCAACCTGCGTCTCCTGGATTCAAGTGATTCTCCTGCCTCCGCCTCTCGAGTAGCTGGGATTACAGGCAACTGCCACCGTGCCCGGCTAATTCTTTTTGTATATTTTTTGTAGAAAGGATGTTTCACCACGTTGGCCAAGCTTGTCTGAAACTCCCAACCTCAAGTGATCCGACCGTCTCAGCATGCCAAAGTAATGGGACTACAGGCGTGAGCCACTGTGCCCAGCCAGAATTCAAAATCAATAATAGATAATGCTGAGTGTATGATTTCAGGTGACAAAGAAGGTCTCTCTATTCAGATATTTGTGACATTAATGAAAAACACGGATTGAACCCCTGAAAGATTGGCGGAAGGATTTTGCACACACAGCTGTCAGCCGTGAAGGCACAAAGGTGAAAACAATCTGATGTGGAAGGAAGAGGCTCTGCCTCAAATGCTGGGAATGAGGTGGGGAGAATGACAAGACGACTGTAGGGAGACGGAGAGCACACTGGGTACACAGGAAACTAAGGAGCAACAAGGAGTGTGTGTTTGACACTCACAGCCATTGGATTCACCTCGGGGTAACCAGGAATCCCTACATGATTAATATGACGGACATGAAAATAAGGGAGGCTCAGTTGCATAACTGGAATCTAGGAGACCGTGGAAAAGGCAATTGCCGCCCCACTGGTGAAATGTGGTGCTGATTTAGACACTAAATGAATGAAGTAGATGGATATAAGATATGTTTGTGAGGTAGAATCGTTGACTGGAAAGGCTTACTGGGTTTGATTTTCCTACTTGTTTAATCCTCGCTTAATTAATTTCTTTCTGAGATTTATTCATCCTACACATAAATCAATACCTGGCAAAGGAGTGACAGATATATGAGTGGTGGTGGAAATGAAGAGACTTATTATAGCATAATATACAAGTCTGTGAACAGTGGCTCACGCCTGTAACCTAGCACTGCAGGAGGCCAAGGTGGGTGGATTCCATGAAGTCAGGAGTTCCAGACCAGCCTGGCCAACGTGGTGAAACCCTATCTCTACTAAAAATACAAAAATTAGCCGAGCACGATGGTGCATCCCTGTAATCCCAGCTCCTATTCTGGAGGATGAAGCAGGAGAACGACTTCAACCCAGTAGGTGGAGGTTGCAGTGAGTGGAGATTGCATCACTGCACTCCAGCCTGGGGGACACAAGGAGACTCTATCTCAAAAAATAAAAATAAGAAATACATAAATATAATAAAACACACACGAATGACAAAGGCACCTGAATTCCAATCATCGTTTTTCTATTTCTCTATAATTACTTCTTTGATCCTTTATCTTATCCATTAGGCAATGAGCTTAAAACCTCTTCCCTATTTGGCTTTCTGTGAGAATGAGATCACATAGAAAATGTGAAAGCCCTCAGAATCCTCCAGCACAGATCGTGGAATAGAGAAAGTGCTCTGTTCATCGCAACAAAAAACTTGCCCACTCACCCAAATCCCCCACCTCACCCCTACTTCCAATCACCTGTGGAGATTCAGATAGGCTATGGGGAGGTAAACATTGATACTCCTTGGAGTGAGTCCAGATCTTGGAATCAGAGATCAGTGCCAGCACTAGCTCCTGCTCCCCTTTCCTACTAATTCACAGGAGGACAGGTGGTATTGAAGCAATAGATGGCCGAGGGGGTGGTCCTTCCCCCAGCCTCTCAGGTAGAACAGCAGCCTAACATGTGTCTCCCGAGATCACAAAGAGTAGCACGTTTCACACGGGCTTCAACACTATTTCCTGGCCATTTGACATAAGAGAATTCTACTTAGCTTTTTTTATCTTGATTTCACTTTTGTTTCCTTTTCTTGGAGAATGCAAGTTGTTTGATTCAAGAATGCTGTGGATGTAGAAATCCTAAAGCACATTCGCTGTGTATCAATCCCAGTGCAGTCTTCCCAGAGAAGACTCTAAATACCTCCTGGACTGCACCTGGGCTTATGCCAATTCCTATCACTCACCGTCACTCCAGGGAGACAGAACACACAGAGAATACATTACACAGGCAGGTTCATTACTAACAGATAAGCAGCGAGTGACAACAGAAACCTACATTTCAATGTGAGCCAGTCCCTCAAGGCTCAGAAAAGCTCCTCGGGACATATGGAGTCACCCCATTTGCAGTGTAGCTGGGGGAAGCCAGAGAGCAGCCCAGCCTGGGTTTTGTACTGTGGAGCCACAGGAAGCACTCAGCTAAAGCACTGCATGACGTCCTCCTCCAGGAAGAACAGGAAGACAGCCCAGGCTGTTCTGAGACGTTCCTCCTGATCTCAGGACGTTGCTGTCTTAGTCCATTTTTGTTGCTCTAAAGGAACACTTGAGCCTGGGTAACTTCTAGAGAAAAGAGATTGGTTTGCCTCACAGTTCTGCAGGCTATACTGGAAGCGTGGCACCAGCATCTATTTCTCGTGACGGCCTCAGGCTGCTCCCACTCTGGCAGAAGGGAAGGAGGGTCTGTCTGTGCAGAGACCACAGAGATCACACGGCAAGAGAGGGAGCAAGGGGGAGGGGGAGCGATGGAGCTTCCAAGCTCTTTTGAACAACCAGCTCTCCAGGAACTAATAGAAGGGGAACTTGCTAACCCCGTCTCCTTGGGACAGCATTGGTCTGTTCATGATGGATCCACCTCCATGACCCAAACACCTCTCAAGAGGCCCAACCTCCCACAGTGGGGGTGAAATTTCAATGTGAGGTTTGAAGGGGTCAAACATCTCAACTAAAGTAGTTGTATCCTCAACACGTTCTATGGTTACTATGAGAGCTATAACTGAGAAAGCAGGAGAAAGCTGGGTCTCCCTCCATCTGGGTGCTTGTCCTAAAGGGGTGTTGTATGTGGTTACCTGTCAATCAAGAAATGTGAGACAATTCATAAAGAGGAACTGCTATGATTAGCTTCTTATTGGTGTCTCCTCTTCTTCCAGGTAACCCCAGACACCTGCATGTTCTGATTGGGACCTCAGTGGTCATCATCCTCTTCATCCTCCTCCTCTTCTTTCTCCTTCATCGCTGGTGCTGCAACAAAAAAAGTAAGTCTCACGAAGCAGAGGCCAGAGAGCTCAGGGCCATGTGGGGAAGCAGGATGGGAGCACTCAGGTGTGTGTTCCTCACAGACAGGATGGTCCCTGGCCCAAGGCAGCAGCCACAGAGGGAGGACTTTCTAGAGAGAGCACCAGACTCCCTGTCCCTGCCTTCAGCTCACAGACCATTGCCTGATTCTGAACTGTATCCTCATGTCCCCTGCAGCCACTCACATCCAGGAGAAGGTTCCATGACAGGCAGAAAGTGGGAGACAGAATCAATGGGATGGGAACTCAGAGCTATTCATGGGATGGGTCCTTGAGCTCAGAGAGATAGAATGTCTGAGTCTGCTGTTGGCAACTGAGGGACCTCAGGCTCCTATGGTCTCCCCCTGTATGTTGGTATCTGCTTATGAAATGAGGGCCCAGAAGTGCCCTCTGAGCTGTTTTGTTGACTTCCGTCTTCTACAGATGCTGTTGTAATGGACCAAGAGCCTGCAGGGAACAGAACAGTGAACAGGGAGGTAGGTGCTCCTCGGCCCAGCCTCGTGGCTAGTGTTATTCCCAAAGAGTCCTGGAAAATGTGAGCACCCTCCCTCACTCAGGATTTCCCTCTCTCCAGGACTCTGATGAACAAGACCCTCAGGAGGTGACATATGCACAGTTGAATCACTGCGTTTTCACACAGAGAAAAATCACTCACCCTTCTCAGAGGCCCAAGACACCCCCAACAGATATCATCGTGTACACGGAACTTCCAAATGCTGAGCCCTGATCCAAAGTTGTCTCCTGCCCATGAGCACCACAGTCAGGCCTTGAGGGGATCTTCTAGGGAGACAACAGCCCTGTCTCAAAACTGGGTTGCCAGCTCCAATGTACCAGCAGCTGGAATCTGAAGGCGTGAGTCTGCATCTTAGGGCATCGCTCTTCCTCACACCACAAATCTGAACGTGCCTCTCTCTTGCTTACAAATGTCTAAGGTCCCCACTGCCTGCTGGAGAGAAAACACACTCCTTTGCTTAGCCCACAATTCTCCATTTCACTTGACCCCTGCCCACCTCTCCAACCTAACTGGCTTACTTCCTAGTCTACTTGAGGCTGCAATCACACTGAGGAACTCACAATTCCAAACATACAAGAGGCTCCCTCTTAACACGGCACTTAGACACGTGCTGTTCCACCTTCCCTCATGCTGTTCCACCTCCCCTCAGACTAGCTTTCAGCCTTCTGTCAGCAGTAAAACTTATATATTTTTTAAAATAATTTCAATGTAGTTTTCCCTCCTTCAAATAAACATGTCTGCCCTCATGGTTTAGGTAATGGGACTCTTTTCTTGCCTAAGGCTTCCGGTGTTATCAGTACCATGTCCATATAATCCCATCTGTTCTCCACGGGGTTCTCACCTCTGGACTCTGAGCTTCTGGAAGCAGTGTGGAGCCTCATTTGTCTCTGGGACTCCAATTTCCATCCAAAGATGCAGCACATAGGAGGTTCCAAGGATCGGGAATCACATGAACAAGTGACATTGTTACTCTCTGCAGACCTGGAAAGCTGGCAGAGTCATTCCACAATGAAACATTTGTAGAGTCATAGGCCTTGTTAGTCTCATCTCCATGGGGACACATATCAACACATCATCTTTCATACTATAAATATACGGTCACTCCTCCGTATCTGTGGGGTTTACAGGTCTTTATTGAACAAAGTATAAATCAAAAATATTCAGAGAAAATATCCACAGAGTTCCAAAACTCATAACTATGTTGAATGGACACAAATGAAGCTGTGTGTAGGCTGTATCAGGAATTATAAGTAATCAAGAGATGATTTCATGTATACAGGAGGATGTGCATATGTTATTTGCAAGCGCTGTGCCATTTCATATAAGAGGCTTGAGCATCTACAGATTTTGGTATCTGAGTGGAGATCTCGAAACCAATCACCCACGAATAGTGAAGGATGACCGTATATGACTTTTATTTCTCAAATTTAAATATAAATCAAAAAATGTACAACTAGATAAAAACTAAGAAGTGTTTTTATAGTGTGAGTTAGATTTATTTTTTACTAGGTGTAACCCATTGGTTTAATATTATTTATTGAGAAGACATTCTATGCCACCTTAAACCACACGGCAGCCTTTGTCAACTCTAAAGGGACTGTGTGTACATGGATGTATTTTAGACAGTTTCTGCTAAGGGGCTGTCTGTGTCCACACTCTTGATGATGCTACACTTTATGTAGCCTTATAGAACCCTTTAAATTTAGTAGCCAGAGCCCTCTAATTTGTTATTATAGGCTATTTGCTTTTTTTTTTCTTGAGGCAGAGTCTTGCTCTGTCGCCCAGGCTGGACTGCAGTGGTGCAATCTCAGCTCACTGCAACCTCCGCCTCCCAGGTTCAAGCGATTCTCGTGCCTCAGCCTCTTGGGTAGCTGGCGTTACAAGTTCCTGCCACTGGGCACGGCTAATTTTTGGATTTTTAGCAGAGACACGGTTTCACTGTGTTGCCAGGCTGCTCTCAAACTCCTTATATCAGTTGATCCGCCCACCTCGGCTTCCCGACGTGCTGGGGGAAACTTGATTTTCTATAGCATTATGTTACTGGATATTTCTGTAAAATTTAAAATGAGGGAGGCAGAGAGACAGAGAGAGAACAAACTCCAGAGTTGGGACTCTGGAAACTTGGGTCATGAGACAAATTTTAGATAAATCTACAAAAATCCAGAGTTTAAATGTGTGGTTTTTGCTGATAACGTACAATTCAAAGATTGTAAATAATTGCATAATCCTTCCCTGGGAATTTAAATCATTTTAACTGGTTCTGCTGTAATACTAGAAATACAAGCATGAAAAATTCTAATGGTTTATTAGTCACAATGACTCTGAAAACCTTAATAATACCTATTAGATATTTTGCATATTACACATGAAGAAGAGTTTGAATCTCAGATAAAAACAATAAAAATACATGAAAAGTCTTTCACGTTAGCACAGATTTTAGGCATCTCGTGTTCAGGAGGTTGGATCTGAGACGTTTTTGAGTTGGTCATAGTGAAGGACGCTAGGTGTAAATTCTAGTGAGAACAATTTCCAGGAAGCCGTGTTCCGCTCTTGAGCGAGCACCCACTGGGCCTCATGCAAGGTAGAATGAGCCTGCGTACGTCACCCTCCCATGATGTGGTCAACATGTAAACTGCATGGGCAGGGCGCCAAATAACATCCTGTGCGCTGCTGAGCTGAGCTGGGGCGCGGCCGCCTGTCTGCACCGGCAGCACCATGTCGCTCACGGTCGTCAGCGTGGCGTGTGTTGGTGAGTCCTGGAAGGGAATAGAGGAAGGGAGTGTGGGGTTGGAGATCTGGGCCCAGAGGTGGAGATATAGGCCTGGAGGTGGAGTTGTGGGCCTGGAGTGGAGATCTGGGCCTGGAGTGGATATATGGGCCTAGAGATGGAGTGATGGGCCTAGAAGTGGAGATCTGGGCCTGGAGTGCCGATAGGAACCTGGAGGGGAGATAGGAGCCTGGAGTGGAGACATGGGCCTGGAGGTGGAGTTATAGGCCTATAGTAGAGATATGGGCCTGGAGTGGAGATTTGGGCCAGGAGTGGAGATATGGGCCTAGAGGTGGATATCTGGGCCTAGAGTGGAAATATGGGCCTAGGATGGAGATATGGGCCTGGTTGTGGAGATATGGGACTGGAGAGGAGATATGGGCCTAGAGTGGAGATATGGGCTTGGGGTGGAGATCTGGGCCTGGGGTGGAGATATGGGCCTGGAGGTGGAGTTACGGGCCTTCAGTAGAGATATGGGCCTGGGGTGGAGATATGGGCTTGGGGTGGAGATCTGGGCCTGGAGTGGAGATATGGGCCTGGAGGTGGAGTTACTGGCCTTCAGTAGAGATATGGGCCTGGTGTGGAGATATGGGCCTGGATTGGAGATATGGGCCTAGGGTGGAGATCTGAGCCTGGGGTGGAGATATGGGCCTGGATTGGAGATATGGGCTTACAGTGGAGATCTTGGCCTGGATTGGCGATATGGGCCTGGATTGGCGATATGGGCCTATGATGGAAATATCGGCCTGGAGTGGAGATATGGGCCTGGAGTGGAGATACAGGCCTAGGGTGGAAATATTGGCCTGGAGTGGAGATATGGGCTTGTGGTGGGGATATGGGCTTGTGGTGGGGATCTGGGCTTGGAGGCTGGGTCTCTGCACAGCCGACAGCCCTGTTCTTGGGTGCAGGTAGGCACTGAGGGTGAGTTTAACTTCAGTCCAGGAAGGGCCTGCCTACCAAGACTCACAGCCCAGTGAGGGCAGCAAGGGTGCCCTGGTTTGCCTGCAGATGGATCGTCCATCATGATCTTTCTTTCCAGGGTTCTTCTTGCTGCAGGGGGCCTGGCCACATGAGGGTGAGTCCTTCTCCAAACCTTCGGGTGTCATCTCCCCACATAAGAGGATTTTCCTGAAACAGGAGGGAAGTCCTGTCAGGGAGCCTCTCATAAACTAGGAAGAGGGGACCCTGGGGTGCTCGGCCCACAGTTCCGACCTCGCCTCCCTGGCCTTTCATTCCCTTGGCAGAGTCAAGTTCTGTGGGGACCAGGGTTAGACTGGGGTGCTCAAAGCTGGGGTGCGTGGTGGGGAAGTGGTAGGAACAGCAGATCCTCTGAGGACAAAGGTGTTACTCACACTTCAGCGTTTCCATGACGGTAGGGGCTGCAGTGTGGCTGCTGTCACTCCACCAGAAGAGGTGGGAAACCACAGCCATGGCCCTGACATTCCAAATCCTCTGATGGGGGCTCAGTTGCTTATTTTCATTCAGGCATCTGCTGATATTCCATTCTCAAAGACATGCCCTCCACCCCATGTCTACCCTGTGTTGTTTTATGTGAGTAATCTTACAGTATTAAAATCTAGTAGGAGTCTCTTACTCAGCACTTGCTCAAAGTTCTCAGCTGACACTTTTGTTGTAGGGAGACACCTTGTGTTTGCGGGATGGGTCCTTCCTTTAGCCCTGGGCACCAAGGTGTGATAGCAGCCATAGAAACTTGGAAAGCGAGGAGAATCTTCAGAGCACAGGGAGGGAGGGGTGGCTCCACATCCTCCTCTCTAAGGCGGTGCCTCCTTCTCCCCAAGGTGGTCAGGACAAGCCCTTGCTGTCTGCCTGGCCCAGCTCTGTGGTGCCTCCAGGACATGTGATTCTTCGGTGTCATTCTTATCTTGGGTTTAACAACTTCAGTCTGTAAAAGGAAGATGGGGTGCCTGGCACTGAGCTCTACAACAGAATATTCTGGAAGAGCCTTTTCATGGGCCCTGTGACCCCAGCACACACAGGGACGTACAGATGTCGGGGTTCACACCCACACTACCCCAGTGGGTGGTCGGCACCCAGCAACACCCTGGTGATCATGGCCACAGGTCAGAGGGCTCCTGTCTTGGATTCTCCTTTCCCACCTCCTGAATCCCAGAGCTTCTGGTGGGCGTGTCCTTGAGGGTCCCATCACCCAGGCCCTGACTATATTTGGGGTAAAGGGGGATTGAATACAGGGAAATGGGTGCTGTGGTGGGAAGAATAATTGTCCCCAGTGATGACTACATTCAAATCCCTGGAGTCTGTGACTATTTATGTTATAGGGGAAGGAACTGAAGGGGAAGATGGAGCTCAGGTTGTTGATGAGTTGACCTTGAGATGGGGAGACAGCCTGGACTGTCCCGCTGGGCTCAGTGTAATCACAAGGGTCCACATGAAAGGAGGAGGAAGAGGGGAGTGGGGATTAGAGCAGCGCAATGGGAGACTCCACCAGCTTTGAAGGTGGAGGAAGGCCAGGAGCCATGAATGCAGGTGGCCTGTAGAGGTTGGAAAAGTCAAGGAAATGATTCTCCAGAGTCTCCAGAGGGAACGAAGCCCTGCAGATGCCTTGATTTTAGCCCAGGAAAAACAGGGTCCTATTTCTGTCTCCAGTAGTGAAATGGGTCAGTGTGCTCTCTCCTGCTGCCATGCTTCTGATAATTTTCTACAGCAGCAACAGGAAACCAACACTGGAACCCAGGTCAAGGACAAGGTAAGAAACAACACAAGGATAGCCGGGTGTGGTGGCAGGCGCATGTAATCCTAGCGACTTGGGAGGCTGAGGGCAGGAGAATCACTTGAACCCAGGAGACAGAGGTTGCAGTGACCCTAGACCACACCACTTCACTCCAGCTGGGGTGAAGGAGTGAGACTCTGTCTCCATAATTAATTAATTAATTAAAGGAACCAAACAAGGGGAAGGTTGGCTACACCGAGATGAGCAAGTGTGGGATGATGATGCCACCACCAGGCTCCATCCACATAGGGAGGGGTTAATACTCCTCAAACCAGCACCAGGAGCCAGCCTATGGAAGCTGGCACCATGGAGAAGGCACAGGCATGGCAAGAGTGGCTCCCAGTCCCGACCAGGAACAGGGTGTGTGGACACTGGTGCCTGCCTTATTCATCAGTTCATACCTACTGCCAAGGATTCCAATTCATCCAAAAGAGATTGAACCAGGCTGATAAGAGGCTGGATGTGCAGCCTATCCTGGTTCCTCTTTCACCCCCACATAAACAGCAGGAAAGACATTAGTGTGAAATAGATACAACACCCCAAGAGATGAGGCTAAGCCCAGTGGGAAGGGAATCAGAGGCGACTAGAGACAGAGGGACAGAGAAGAGGGAGGGAGACAGATGGAAGGACCTGCACCAGGAGTTATGGGCACAGAAAAGAACATGAAGACACAGAGAGGAAGGAGAGAGACAGACACCAGCAAGGGGAAGCCTCACTCATTCTAGGTGCCATGGATGGGATGATAAAGAGAGACACCTTCTAAACTCACAACCTCTCTTCCTAGGAGTCCACAGAAAACCTTCCCTCCTGGCCCACCCAGGTCCCCTGGTGAAATCAGAAGAGACAGTCATCCTGCAATGTTGGTCAGATGTCAGGTTTGAGCACTTCCTTCTGCACAGAGAAGGGAAGTTTAACGACACTTTGCACCTCACTGGAGAGCACCATGATGGGGTTTCCAAGGCCAACTTCTCCATCGGTCCCATGATGGAAGACCTGGCAGGGACCTACAGATGCTACGGTTCTGTTACTCACTCCCCCATCAGTTGTCAGCTCCCAGTGACCCTCTGGACATCGTCATCACAGGTGAGAGTGTCCGGACATTCTTCTCATTGTCATTGGGATGCAGAGTGAATGATCCACGACTTGGAACCCCCAGGTAGTTGTAAGGAAGATGAGCTTGGTATTCTTATGGAGAGAGACTGACTTGGTGAGGTCTGTACCAACAGAGACAGAGAAACAGGAGACACAAGTACAGACCAGGTGTCATAACAGAGGACAGACACAGGGGCCATACCGGGAGTTAGAAAAGACAGAAGGAGTTAAAGGAGACAGACAGACAGACATGTCCCAGAGAGAGGTGTCCCTCCATGCTGACTTTGCTCAGAGACCTGGCACAGGTTAGAAGTTTCATTTCTGTTTTACCTCCACAAAGTGTTCTCTACCAGGAGAACCCAAGGACACCCATATTTCTGACCTGAGTTGGGCCCTGTGGCCTCAGGCCTTGTGGCACCTACAGATGCCGTGTTTATTCTGACACCTCTGCCTTCCATGTAATGGAGAGTAACCGTCCCAGGATATCATGGCCCCAGAACACCAACTCCTGTATGCTGTGTGAACTTGTGGTCTCCAGACTGGATTCTGAGGCTCACATTCCAAATAACCCCACATATGAAAGGATCACTGAGAGGCACAGAGAGAAATCAGGGACACCAAAAAGCAAAGACATAAACACACAGAGAATGAGCCAGAGGAAGGAGATTGAGAGACTCACAGACACATAAAGAGAGAGAAAAGAGGGCAGAGGAGTGGTGAGAATGATGGAAGGGAGCAGAGAAAAGCACTAAAATTAGACTCCTGAGGGAGAGGCACAAGGACATAGAAAGATGGAGATGTGGGGATGAATTGCAGAGATTCCAAAGAGAACTAGAGAGACCGAGAGGCAGAGCAAGACAGATGATAGAAGGTTAGATATAGATAGATGATAAATAGGTAGATGATAGATAATAGGTTAAAGATACATAGATGATGATTGATTGATTCATTAATAGATGAGACATAGAGATGATGATGATGAAGACAGATAGATAATACATAGAGATAGAGAGGCAGACAGAAGTCATAGAGAGAGAGATGATACATAGATATAGATAACAGATGATTGATGGATAGATAGACAAGTGATAGATACATAGATGATATATAGACATAGATGACAGGTAGAGAATTTGTAGATAGGCACCGAATAGATAAATAGATAGATCGATAGATAATAGATAGAAATATGCAGAAAGTTATGAACAGGACACAAAGTGAGAAACTTAGAATTTAAAAAAGTAACATCAAGTCAACCAATCCAAGGAGAGTCAGAGAGAATAAAAGAATCCAAAAAGGGAAAACATATCTAGAGGTGTGGAAGCGAGGTCAGAGACCTAGAGAGACAGAGAAGGTGGAAGGAGGAAATAGACATGAAGAGAGATGGGGTGGAGGGTGAGAGACAGAGAGAGAGAGCATTAGGTCATAGAGCAGGGGAGTGAGTTCTCAGCTCAGGTGAAGGGAGCTGTGACAAGGAAGATCCTCCGTAAGGAAAATGCCTCTTCTCCTTCCAGGTCTATATGAGAAACCTTCTCTCTCAGCCCAGCCGGGCCCCACGGTTCTGGCAGGAGAGAGCGTGACCTTGTCCTGCAGCTCCCGGAGCTCCTATGACATGTACCATCTATCCAGGGAGGGGGAGGCCCATGAACGTAGGTTCTCTGCAGGGCCCAAGGTCAACGGAACATTCCAGGCTGACTTTCCTCTGGGCCCTGCCACCCACGGAGGAACCTACAGATGCTTCGGCTCTTTCCGTGACTCTCCCTACGAGTGGTCAAACTCGAGTGACCCACTGCTTGTTTCTGTCACAGGTGAGGAAAGCCCATGGCTGTCCCATGTCCTATGATCCTAGAGCCTTAGCTGAGGAGCTTCCTGCTGAGGATGGAGAGAAGGATGAACAGATGCAGAGAGAAGACGAAGCTTGGGTGTGAGGGAGGGATCAGGGCACAGGATGGCAGACAGGGCACCTCCAAACCCTCCTACATGGCCTGCATGAAGGCCTGCGGCCAGGACTCCAGGCACCCAGGCAGATGGAGAAAGCGGTCAGGAGAGACCCAGAGGAGGGAGACTGGGCTCAGTTTGGGAAGATCAGAGGTTCCCTCAGCCCCTCAACATTACCCATTTCCCAGAAGCCCATCCTGGCCTCCCACCCACACAGGGATGTCATCACCTGCAACCCCTACACCCTTTACTTTTGTTTGAGAAATATTTATTGAGGATAAATATACCTATATAGCTTACCACCTTTAACATTTTTTTTTTGAGGCGGAGTCTAGCTCTGTCCCCTATGCTGGAGTGCATTGGCACAATCTCAGCTCACTGCAACTTCCGCCTCCTGGGTTCAAGCGATTCTCTTGCCTCAGCCACCTGAGTAGCTGGTGCTACAGGCGTGCACCACCATGCCAGGCTACTTTTTGTATTTTTAGTAGAGAGGGGGTTTCACCATGTTGGTCAAGCTGGTCTGGAACTCCTGACCACGTGATCCATCCGCATCAGCCTCCCAAAGTGCTGGGATTACAGGCATGAGCCACCACGCCCAGCCACATTTACCATTTTTAAGTGTAAAGTCTAGTGGTCATAAATACATTAATATATATATATATACACATATTTTTTTTTACCCTCCACCCTTTTCTTCCTGGCCTCTGGTAGCCACCATTCTACTCTCTACCTTCATGAGATCCACCTTTTAGCTCCTGTATATGGGTAAGAAATGGGAATCTTTGTAATGACCTCCAGTTCCATCCATGTGGCTGCAAATATCAGGATGTTTTTCTTTCTATGGAAGAGTAGTCTCCACTATGCAAATGTACCACATTCTCTCTATCCATTCACCCACTGATGGGCAGGTAGGTTGACTCCTCATCTTGGCTACTGTGAAGAGTGCTGCACCAATCATACGAGTGCAGATATCACTTCGATATATTGATTTACTTTCCTTTGGATATAAACCCAGTAGTGAAATTGCTGGATACTATGAAAGTTCTCTTTTTAGTTTTTCGTTTGTTGTTTTGTTTTTGTTTTTGAGACAGTTTCCCTCTGTGCCCAGGCTGGAGTACAAGTGATGTCATCTTGGCTCATTGCAACCTCTGCCTCCTGGGTTCAAATGATTTTCCTGCCTCAGCCTCCCTAGTATCAGGGATTATAGGCGCACGCCACCATGCCTGGCTACTTTTTGTTTTTTTTAGTATAGATGCGGTTTCCCCATGTTGGCTGGGCTGCTCTCAAACTCATGACCTCAACTGAGGTGCCCGCCTCGGTCTCCCAAAGTGCCGGGATTACAGGCATGATCCACCTCACCCAACCTCTTTTTAGTTCTTTAAAGGACTTCCACACTTTTCTCCGTAATGGCTGTACTAATTTACACTCCTACCAACAGGATACCAGGATTCTCCTTTCTCTAACACCTTGCCAGCATTTCTTTTGCCTGTCTTGCAGCTAAAAGCCATTTTATTTTATTTCATTTTATTTTGAGATGGAGTTTCGCTCTTGTCACCCAGGCTGAGTGCAGTGGTGCGATCTCGGCTCACCACAACCTCCACCTCCCAGGTTCAAGCGATTCTCCTGCCTCAGCCTCCCGAGTAGCTGGAATTACAGGCACACGCCACCACGCCCGACTAATTTTTGTATTTTTAGTAGAGACAGTGTTTCTCCATGTGGGTCAGACTGGTCTCAAACTCCCGACCTTATGAGATTCACCCACCTCAGGCTCTCAAAGTTCTAGGATGACAGACGTGAGCCACCACGCCCGGCCTAAAAGCCATTTTAATGGGGTGAGATGAAAACTCACTTTGATTTTAATTTGTGTTTCTCTGATGATGAGTGATACTGAGCACTTTTTCGTATGTGGGGAAATTTCATGTCTTTTGCTCCTTTTTCAATTAAATCATTTGTTTTATTGAGTTGTTTGAGCTTCTTATATTTCTAGTTATTAATCCCATCTCAGATGCATAGTTTGCACATATTTGCTCCCAATCTGTGGGTTGTCTCTTCACTTTGTTGGTTTATTTTTAGCGGTGCAGAAGTTGCTTAGTTTGAGGTAATCCCAATGGTCTATTTTTGCTTCGATTACTTGTGTTTTGAAGGTTTAAAACAAAATGTCTTCCTTCAGACAAACGTCCTGGAGCATTTCCCCAATATTTTCTTCTACGTGTTTCATAGGTTCAGGCCTTAGACTCACATCTTTAATCCATTTTCATTTGATTTTTGTGTATAGTGACAGGCAGAGGTGCAGTTTCATTCCTCTGCATGTAGATGTCCAGGTTTCCCTGCACTGTTTATTGAAAAGACTGTCCTTTCCTGATTGTGAGTTCTTGGCACCTTTGTCAAAGTCCATTGGATGGGCTGGGCATGGTGGCTGACACCTGCAATTTCAGCACTTTGGGAGCCCGAGGTGGGTGGATCACCTGAGGCCAAGAGTTCAAGATTAGTCTGGCCAACGTGATGAAACATCGTCTCCACTAAAAATATAAAAATTAGCTGAGCATGGTGGTCAGCACCTGTAATACCACTACTCAGGAGTTTGAGGCAAGAGAAGTGATTGAACCCAGGAGGCTGTGGTGGCAGTGAACCGAGATTGCACCTCTGCACTCCAGCCTGGGTGACAGAGCAAGACTCCATCTCAAAAGAAAAACAAAAAATACATTGGAGGTAAATGCATGGATTATATCTGTGTTATTCATTCTGCTCCGTTGTTCTATGTGCCTTTCTTCATGCCAACGTCATGCTGTCTTGCTTACTACAGCTCTGTAACATATTTTGAGATCAGGTAGTGTGATGCTCCTGTTTTCTCTTTATACCTTGAAGTCTCAAGACAGTAGCCGTCACATACAAAAATTACGGAAAAAAGGATCCCAGGACTCCCAGGGCCCAATATTAGATAACAGAGTGTTGGCCATGAACCAACCTCAAAGATTTCCACTGAGTAGAGGACAGACACCCTCATTTCCTCACCTCTCTCCTGTCTCGTGTTCTAGGAAACCCTTCAAATAGTTGGCCTTCACCCACTGAACCAAGCTCCAAAACCGGTGAGTACAGAACCCTCTTATATCCGCTTTTGGAAACCTGGGGAGGTGGAAACCTTGGATTCAGGCGTTGACTCAGCATCTCACAGCTCTGACATTGTACGCCTGTCTTCTACCATCTCCGAACTCCAGATACTCCAACAGCGAAAGGGATCTGGACCCAAAACAGGGCTCAGTGAAATCTCTTAATCTCTCATTTTATGGAGCTGAGATCTCCTACAAGCTAGAAAAATGATTGGCAATCTGACATCCTTCTCAGGAAAAATGCAATGTTTGTTCTGCCTGCATTCCTAACTGGAGGATAAATTCCTGGGGGCTTGAGAGAGGGAAGGGTAGGGAACATTTGATGAGGGCAAGGTGTTTTAGAGAAGTTCCACTTGCCCAGGAATGAATTACTGTTGGTCATGAAGCAACCCTGGCTGACTCAGCAGAGCAAGAGCTTTGCCTTAACAGAGAACGGAGCTCATGCACGCACACTTCGACTCACTGACTCATTCAGCCACGGCCCCATGCTCAGGCCGTGGAAAAGGCAATTCCCAGCACTGCAGGAGGCCAAGGCGGGTGGATCACTTGAAGTCAGGAGTTCCAGACCAGCCTGGCCAAAATGGTGAAACCCTGTCTCTATGAAAAATACAAAAATTAGCCGAGCATGGTGGTGCATCCCTGTAATCCCAGCTCCTACTCTTGAGGATGAAGCAGGAGAACAACTTCAACCCAGGAGGTGGAGGTTGCAGTGAGTGGAGATTGCATCACTGCACTCCAGCCTGGGTGACACAAGGAGACTCCGTCTCAAAAAATAAAAATAAGAAATGCATAAATATAATAAAACACACACGAATGACAAAGGCACCTGAATTCCAATCATCATTTTTCTATTTCTCTATAATTACTTCTTTGATCCTTTGTCTTATCCATTAGGCAATGAGCCTAAAACCTCTTCCGTATTTGGCTTTCTGTGAGCATGAGACCATATAGAAAATGTGAAAGCCCGCTGAATCCTCCAGCACAGATCGTGGAATAGAGAAAGTGCTCTGTTCATCACAAAAAAAACTTGCCCTCTCACTCAAATCCCCCACTTCACCCCTACTTCCAATCACCTGTGGAGATTCAGATAGACCATGGGGAGGTAAACATTAATACTCCTTGGAGTGAGTCCAGATCTTGGAATGAGAGATCAGCACCAGCACTAGCTCCTGCTCCCCTTTCCTACTAATTCACAGGAGGACAGGTGGTATTGAAGCAATAGATGGTGGAGGGGGTGGTCCTTCCCCCAGCCTCTCAGGTAGAACAGCAGCCTAACATGTGTCTCCCGAGATCACAAAGAGTAGGACGTTTCACAGGGGCTTCAACACGATTTCCTGGCTGTTGGACATAAGATAACTCTATTTCGCTTTTTTATCTTGATTTCACTTTTGTTTCCTTTCCTTGGAGAACGCAAGTTGTTTGACTCAAGAATGCTGTGGATGTAGAAATCCTAAAGCACATTCGCTGTGTGTCAATCCCAGTGCAGTCTTCCCAGAAAAGACCCTAAACACCTCCTAGACTGCACCTGGGCCTACGCCAATTCCTATCACTCACCGTCACTCCAGGGAGACAGAACACACAGAGAATACGTTACATAGGCAGGTTCATTACTAACAGATAAGCAGCGAGTGAAAACAGAAGCCTACATTTCAATGTGAGCCAGTCCCTCAAGGCTCAGAAAAGCTGCTCGGGACATATGGAGTCACCCCATTTGCAGTGTAGCTGGGGGAAGCCAGAAAGCAGCCCAGCCTGGGTTTTGTACCCTGGAGCCACAGGAAGCACTCAGCTAAAGCACTGCATGACGTCCTCCTCCAGGAAGAACAGGAAGACAGCCCAGGCTGCTCTGGGACGTTCCTCCTGATCTCAGGACGTTGCTGTCTTAGTCCATTTTTGTTGCTCTAAAGGAACACTTGAGCCTGGGCAACTTCTAAAGAAAAGAGATTGGTTTGCCTCACCGTTCTGCAGGCTGTACTGGAAGCATGGCACCAGCATCTATTTCTCGTGATGGCCTCAGGCTGCTCCCACTCTGGCAGAAGGGAAGGAGGGTCTGTCTGTGCAGAGACCACAGAGATCACACGGCAAGAGAGGGAGCAAGGGGGAGGGGGAGCGATGGAGCTTCCAAGTTCTTTTGAACAACCAGCTCTCTGGGAACTAATAGAGGGGGAACTAGCTAACCCCGTCTCCTTGGGACAGCATTGATCTGTTCATGATGGATCCACCTCCATGACCCAAACACCTCTCAAGAGGCCCAACCTCCCACAATGGGGGTGAAATTTCAATGTGAGGTTTGAAGGGGTCAAACATCTCAACTAAAGTAGTTGTATCCTCAGCACATTCTATGGTTACTTTGAGAGCTATAACTGAGAAAGCAGGAGAAAGCTGGGTCTCCCGCCATCTGGGTGCTTGTCCTAAAGAGGTGTTTTACGTGGTTACCTGTCAATCAAGAAATGCGAGACAATTCATAAAGAGGAACTGCTATGATTAGCTTCTTATTGGTGTCTCATCTTCTTCCAGGTAACCCAAGACACCTGCACGTTCTGATTGGGACCTCAGTGGTCATCATCCTCTTCATCCTCCTCCTCTTCTTTCTCCTTCATCGCTGGTGCTCCAACAAGAAAAGTAAGTCTCACGAAGGAGAGGCCAGAGAGCTCAGGGCCATGTGGGGAAGCAGGATGGGAGCACTCAGGTGTGTGTTCCTCACAGGTAGGATGGTCCCTGGCCCAAGGCAGCAGCCACAGAGGCAGGACTTTCTAGAGAGGGCACCAGACTCCCTGTCCCTGCTTTCAGCTCACAGACCGTTGCCTGATTCTGAACTGTATCCTCATGTCCCCTGCAGCCACTCACATCCAGGAGAAGGTTCCATGACAGGCAGAAAGTGGGAGACAGAATCAATGGGATGGGAACTCAGAGCTATTCATGGGATGGGTCCTTGAGCTCAGAGAGATAGAATGTCTGAGTCTGCTGTTGGCAACTGAGGGACCTCAGGCACCTATGGCCTCCCCCTGTTTGTTGGTATCTGCTTATGAAATGAGGACCCAGAAGTGCCCTCCGAGCTCTTTTGTTGACTTCCGTCTCCTACACATGCTGCTGTAATGGACCAAGAGCCTGCAGGGAACAGAACAGCGAATAGCGAGGTAGGTGCTCCTCGGCCCAGCCTCGTGGCTAGTGTTATTCCCAAACAGTCCTGGAAAACGTGAGCACCCTCCCTCACTCAGCATTTCCCTCTCTCCAGGACTCTGATGAACAAGACCCTCAGGAGGTGACATACGTACAGTTGGATCACTGCGTTTTCACACAGAGAAAAATCACTCGCCCTTCTCAGAGGCCCAAGACACCCCCAACAGATACCAGAGTGTACACGGAACTTCCAAATGCTGAGTCCAGATCCAAAGTTGTCTCCTGCCCATGAGCACCACAGTCAGGCCTTGAGGGGATCTTCTAGGGAGACAACAGCCCTGTCTCAAAACCGGGTTGCCAGCTCCCATGTACCAGCAGCTGGAATCTGAAGGCGTGAGTCTGCATCTTAGGGCATCGCTCTTCCTCACACCACAAATCTGAATGTGCCTCTCTCTTGCTTACAAATGTCTAAGGTCCCCACTGCCTGCTGGAGAGAAAACACACTCCTTTGCTTAGCCCACAATTCTCCATTTCACTTGACCCCTGCCCACCTCTCCAACCTTACTGGCTTACTTCCTAGTCTACTTGAGGCTGCAATCACACTGAGGAACTCACAGTTCCAAACATACAAGAGGCTCCCTCTTAACACGGCACTTAGACACGTCCTGTTCCACCTTCCCTCATGCTGTTCCACCTCCCCTCAGAGTATCTTTCAGCCTTCTGTCAGCAGTAAAACTTATATATTTTTTAAAATAATTTCAATGTAGTTTTCCCTCCTTCAAATAAACATGTCTGCCCTCATGGTTTCGGTAATGGGACTCTTTTCTTGCCTAAGACTTCCAGTGTTATCATTACCATGTCCACATAACCCCATCTGTTCTCCACTGGGTTCTCACCCCCGGACTCTGAGTTTCTGGAAGCAGGGTGGAGCCTCATTTGTCTCTGGGACTCCTATTTCCATCCAAAGATGTAGCACATAGGAGGTTCCAAGGATCGTGAATCACATGAACAAGTGATATTCTTACTCTCTGCAGACCTGGAAATCTGGCAGAGTCATTCCAAGATGAAACATTTGTAGAGTCATAGGCCTTGTTAGTCTCATCTACACAGGGACACATATCAACACATCATCTTTCACACTATAAATATACAGTCACTCCTCCATATCTGTGGGGTTTACAGTTCTTTATTGAACCGAGTATAAATCAAAAATATTCAGAGAAAGTATCCACAGAGTTACAAAAAGCAGAACTGTGTTGAATGGACACAAATGAAGCTGTGTGTAGGCTGCATCAGGAATTATAAGTAATCTAGAGATGATTTCATGTATACAGGAGGATGTGCATAGGTTATTTGCAAACTCTGTGCCATTTCATATAAGAGGCTTGAGCATCTACAGATTTTGGTATCTGAGTGGAGATCTCGAAACCAATCACCCAGGAATAGTGAAGGATGACCGTATATGACTTTTATTTCTCAAATTTAAATATAAATCATAAAAAATGTACAACTAGATAAAAACTAAGAAGTGTTTTTATAGTGTGAGTTAGATTTATTTTTTCCTAGGTATAACCCATTGGTTTAATATTATTTATTGAGAAGACATTCTATGCCACCTTAAACCACACGGCAGCCTTTGTCAACTCTAAAGGGACTGTGTGTACACGGATGTACTTTAGACACTGTTTCTGCTAAGGGGCTCTCTGTGTCCACACTCTTGATGATGCTGCACTTTATGTAGCCTTATAGAACCCTTTAAATTTAGTAGCCAGAGCTCTCTAATTTGTTATTATAGGCTATTTGCTTTTTTTTCTTGAGGCGGAGTCTTGCTCTGTCGCCCAGGCTGGACTGCAGTGACACAATCTCAGCTCACTGCAACTTCTGCCTCCCAGGTTCAAGCGATTCTCGTGCCTCAGCCTCTTGAGTAGCTGGCGTTACAGGTGCCTGCCACCAGGCACGGCTAATTTTTGGATTTTTAACAGAGACACGGTTTCACTATATTGGCCAGGCTGCTCTCAAACTCCTTATCTCAGTTGATCCGCCCACCTCGGCTTCCCAACGTGCTGGGGAAACTTGATTTTCTATAGCATTATGTTACTGGATATTTCTGTAAAATTTAAAATGAGGGAGGGAGAGAGACAGACGGAAAACAAACTCCAGAGTTGGGACTCTGGAATCTTGGGTCATGAGACAAATTTTAGATTAAACTACAAAACTCCAGAATTTACAGGTGGGGTTTTTACTGATAAAGTACAATTCTAAGATTGTAAATAATTGCATAATCCTTCCCTGGGAATTTAAATCATTTTAACTGGTTCTGCTGTAATACTAGAAATACAAGCATGAAAAATTCTAATGGTTTGTTAGTCACAATGACTCTGAAAACATTAATAATACCTATTAGATATTTTGCATATTACACAGGAAGAAGAGTTTGAATCTCAGATAAAAACAATAGAAATACATGAAAAGTCTTTCATGTTAGCACAGATTTTAGGCATCTCGTGTTCGGGAGGTTGGATCTCAGACGTGTTTTGAGTTGGTCATAGTGAAGGACACTAGGTGTCAAATTCTAGCGAGAACAATTTCCAGGAAGCCGTGTTCCGCTCTTGAGCGAGCACCCACTGGGCCTCATGCAAGGTAGAAAGAGCCTGCGTACGTCACCCTCCCATGATGTGGTCAACATGTAAACTGCATGGGCAGGGCGCCAAATAACATCCTGTGCGCTGCTGAGCTGAGCTCGGTCGCGGCTGCCTGTCTGCTCCGGCAGCACCATGTCGCTCTTGTTCGTCAGCATGGCGTGTGTTGGTGAGTCCTGGAAAGCAATAGAGGGAGGGAGTGAGGGGATGGAGATCTGGGCCCAGAGGTGGAGATATAGGCCTGGAGGTGGAGTTATGGGCCTGGAGTGGAGATCTGGGCCTGGAGTGGATATATGGGCCTAGAGATGGAGTGATGGGCCTAGAAGTGGAGATCTGGGCCCAGAGGTCGAGATATAGGCCTGGAGGTGGAGTGATGGGACTGTAGTGGAGATCTGGGCCTGGAGTGGAGATAGGAACCTGGAGGGGAGATAGGAACCTGGAGGGGAGATATGGGCCTGGAGGTGGAGATATGGGCCTGGAGTGGAGTCATGGGCCTGGAGGTGGAGTTACGGGCCTGCAGTAGAGATATGGGCCTGAAGTGGAGACATGGGCCTGGAGTGGAGATATGGGCCAGGAGTGGAGATATGGGCCTAGAGGTCGATATCTGGGCCTGGAGTGGAGATATGGGCCAGGAGTGGAGATATGGGCCTAGAGGTCGATATCTGGGCCTGGAGAGGAGATATGTGCCTAGGATGGAGATACGGGCCTGGGTGTGGAGATATGGGACTGGAGAGGATATATGGGCCTGGAGTGGAGATATGGGACTGGAGAGGAGATATGGACCTGGAGTGGAGATAAGGGCCTGGATTGGAGATATGGGCCCAGGGTGGAGATCTGAGCCTGGATTGGAGATATGGGCCTGGATTGGCGATATGGGCTTAGGGTGGAAATATCGGCCTGGAGTGGAGATATGGGCCTGGAGTGGAGATATGGGCTTGAGGTGGGGATATGGACCTGGAGGCTGGGTCTCTGCACAGCCGACAGCCCTGTTCTTGGGTGCAGGTAGGCACTGAGGGTGAGTTTACCTTCAGCCCAGGAAGGGCCTGGCTACCAAGACTCACAGCCCAGTGGGGGCAGCAAGGGTGCCCTGGTTTGCCTGCAGATGGGTCATCCATCATGATCTTTCTTTCCAGGGTTCTTCTTGCTGCAGGGGGCCTGGCCACATGAGGGTGAGTCCTTCTCCAAACCTTCGGGTGTCATCTCCCCACATAAGAGGATTTTCCTGAAATGGGAGGGAAGTCCTGTCAGGGAGTCTCTCATAAACTAGGAAGAAGGGACCCTGGGGTGCTGGGCCCACATTTCTGACCTTGCCTCCCTGGCCTTTCATTCCCTTGGCAGAGTCAAGTTCTGTGGGGACCAGGGTTAGACTACGGTGCTCAAAGCTGGGGTGTGTGGTGGGGAAGTGGTAGGAACAGCAGATCCTCTGAGGACAAAGGTGTTACTCACACACTTCAGCGTTTCCATGACGGTAGGGGCTGCAGTGTGGCTGCTGTCATTCTACCAGAAGAGGTGGGAAAACCACAGCCATGGCCCTGACATTCCAATCCTCTGATGGGGACTCAGTTGTTTATTTTCGTTCAGGCATCGGCTGATATTCCATTCTCAAAGGACATGCCCTCCACCCCATGTCTACCCTGTGTTGTTTTATGTGAGTAATCTTACAGTATTAAAATCTAGTAGGAGTCTCTTACTCAGCACTTGCTCAAAGTTCTCAGCTGACACTTTTGTTGTAGGGAGACACCTTGTGTTTGCGGGATGGGTCCTTCCTTTAGCCCTGGGCACCAAGGTGTGATAGCAGCCATAGAAACTTGGAAAGCGAGGAGAATCTTCAGAGCACAGGGAGGGAGGGGCGGCTCCACATCCTCCTCTCTAAGGCGGTGCCTCCTTCTCCCCACGGTGGTCAGGACAAGCCCTTGCTGTCTGCCTGGCCAAGCCCTGTGGTGCCTCCAGGACATGTGATTCTTCAGTGTCATTCTTATCTTGGGTTTAACAACTTCAGTCTGTAAAAGGAAGATGGGGTGCCTGTCCCTGAGCTCTACAACATAATATTCTGGAACAGCCTTTTCATGGGCCCTGTGACCCCAGCACACGCAGGGACCTATACATGTCGGGGTTCACAACCACACTACCCCAGTGGGTGGTCGGCACCCAGCAACCCCCTGGAGATCACGGTCACAGGTCAGAGGGCTCCTGTCTGGGATTCTCCTTGTCCCACCTCCTGAATCCCAGAGCTCCTGGTGGGCGTGTCCTTGCGGGTCCCATCATGCAAGTCCTGACTGTATTTGGGGTAAAGGGGGATTGAATACAGGGAAATGGGTGCTGTGGTGGGAAGAATAATTGTCCCCAGTGATGACTACATTCTAATCCCTGGAGTCTGTGACTATTTATGATATAGGGGAAGGGACTGAAGGAGAAGATGGAGCTCAGGTTGTTGATGAGTTGACCTTGAGATGGGGAGACAGCCTGGACTGTCCTGATGGGCTCAGTGTAGTCACAGGGGTCCACATGAAAGGAGGAGGAAGAGGGGAGTGGGGATTACAGCAGCGCAATGGGAGACTCCACCAGCTTTGAAGGTGGAGGAAGTCCAGGAGCCATGAATGCAGGTGGCCTATAGAGGCTGGAAAAGTCAAGGAACTGATTCTCCTGAGTCTCCAGAGGGAACGAAGCCCTGCAGGTGCCTTGATTTTACCCACGACAAACAGGGTCCGATTTCTGTCTCCAGAATTGGAAGGGGTTAGTGTGCTCTCTCCTGGTGCCATGCTTCTGATAATTTTCTACAGCAGCAACAGGAAACCAACACTGGAACCCAGGTCAAGGACAAGTTAAGAAACAACACAAGGATAGCCAGGCATGGTGGCAGGTGCATGTAATCCTAGCGACTTGGGAGGCTGAGGGCAGGAGAATCACTTGAACCCAGGAGACAGAGGTTGCAGTGAGCCTAGACCACACCACTTCACTCCAGCCTGGGCAAAGGAGTGAGACTCTGTCGCCAAAATTAATTAATTAATTAAAGAAACCAAACAAGGAGAAGGTTGGCTACACTGAGATCAGCAAGGCTCAGATGATGATGCCACCACCAGGCTCCATCCACATAGGGAGCGGTTGATACTCCTCCAACCAGCACCAGGAGCCAGCCTATGGAAGCTGGCACTGGCATGGCAAGAGTGGCTCCCAGTCCCTACCAGGAACAGGGTGTGTGGCCACTGGTGCCTGCCTTACTGATCAGTTCATACCTCCTGCCAAGGATTCCAATTCGTCCAAAAGAGATTGAACCAGGCTGCTAAGAGCCTGGATGTGCAGCCTATCCTGGTTCCTCTTCCACCCCCACATAGACAGCAGGAAAGACATTAGTTCGAAATAGATACAACAGCCCAAGAGATGAGGCTGAGCCCAGCGGCAAGGGAATCAGAGGCTACTAGAGACAGAGGGACAGAGAAGAGTGAGGGAGACAGATGGAAGGACCTGCACCAGGAGTTATGGGCACAGAAAAGAACATGAAGACACAGAGAGGAAGGAGAGAGATAAGACACCAGGAAGGGGAAGCCTGACTCAATCCAGGTGCCATGGATGGGATGATAAAGAGAGACACCTTCTAAACTCACAACCTCTCTTCCTAGGAGTCCACAGAAAACCTTCCCTCCTGGCCCACCCAGGTCCCCTGGTGAAATCAGAAGAGACAGTCATCCTGCAATGTTGGTCAGATGTCATGTTTGAACACTTCCTTCTGCACAGAGAGGGGATGTTTAACGACACTTTGCGCCTCATTGGAGAACACCATGATGGGGTCTCCAAGGCCAACTTCTCCATCAGTCGCATGACGCAAGACCTGGCAGGGACCTACAGATGCTACGGTTCTGTTACTCACTCCCCCTATCAGGTGTCAGCTCCCAGTGACCCTCTGGACATCGTGATCATAGGTGAGAGTGTCCAGACTTTCTTCTCATTGTCATTGGGATGCAGAGTGAATGATCCAGGAATTGGAGACCCAGGTGGCTGTAAGGAAGATGAGCTTGGTATTCTTATGGAGAGAGACTGACTTGGTGAGGTCTGTGCCAACAGAGACAGAGAAACAGGAGACACAAGTACAGACCAGGTGTCATAACAGAGAACAGACACAGGGGCCATACCGGGAGTTAGAAAAGACAGAAAGAGTTAAAGGAGACACACAGACAGACATGTCCCAGAGAGAGGTGTCCCTCCATGCTGACTTTGCTCAGAGACCTGGCACAGGTTAGAAGTTTCATTTCTGTTTTACCTCCACAAAGTGTTCTCTACCAGGAGAACCCAAGGACACCCATATTTCTGACCTGAGTTGGGCCCTGTGGCCTCAGGCCTTGTGGCACCTACAGATGCCATGTTTATTCTGACACCTCTGCCTTCCATGTAATGGAGAGTAATCGTCCCAGGATATCATGGCCCCACAACACCAACCCCTGTATGCTGTGTGAACTTGTAGTCTCCAGACTGGATTCTGAGGCTCATATTCCAAATAAGCCCACTTATGAGAGGATCAGTGGGAGGCACAGAGAGAAATCAGGGACACCAAAAAGCAAAGACATAAACACACAGAGAATGAGCCAGAGGAAGGAGATTGAGAGACTCACAGACACATAAAGAGAGAGAAAAGAGGGCAGAGAAGTGAGAATGATGGAAGGGAGCAGAGAAAAGCACTAAAATTAGACTCCTGAGGGAGAGGCACAAGGACATTGAAAGATGGAGATGTGGGGATGAATTGCAGAGATTCCAAAGAGAACTAGAGAGACCGAGAGGCAGAGCAAGACAGATGATAGATGGATAGATATAGATAGATGATAAATAGGTAGATGATAGATAATAGGTTATAGATACATAGATGATGATTGATTGATTCATTAATAGATGAGACATAGAGATGATGATGATGAAGACAGATAGATAGATAATACATAGAGATACAGAGGCAGACATAGAGAAATCATAGAGAGAGAGAGATGATACATAGATATAGATAATAGATGATTGATGGATAGATAGACAATTGATGGATAAATAGATGATATATAGATATAGATGACAGGTAGAGAATTTGTAGATAGGCACCGAATAGATAAATAGATAGATCGATAGATAATAGATAGAAATATGCAGAAAGTTATGAACAGGACACAAAGTGAGAAACTCAGAATTAAAAAAAGTAACATCAAGTCAACCAATCCAAGGAGAGTCAGAGAGAATAAAACAATCCAAAAAGAGAAAACATATCTAGAGGTGGGGAAGTGAGGTCAGAGACCTAGAGAGACAGAGAAGGTGGAAGGAGGAAATAGACATGAAGAGCGATGGGGTAGAGGGTGAGAGAGAGAGAGAGAGAGCATTAGGTCATAGAACAGGGGAGTGAGTTCTCAGCTCAGGTGAAGGGAGCTGTGACAAAGAAGATCCTCCCTGAGGAAACTGCCTCTTCTCCTTCCAGGTCTATATGAGAAACCTTCTCTCTCAGCCCAGCCGGGCCCCACGGTTCTGGCAGGAGAGAATGTGACCTTGTCCTGCAGCTCCCGGAGCTCCTATGACATGTACCATCTATCCAGGGAAGGGGAGGCCCATGAACGTAGGCTCCCTGCAGGGCCCAAGGTCAACGGAACATTCCAGGCTGACTTTCCTCTGGGCCCTGCCACCCACGGAGGGACCTACAGATGCTTCGGCTCTTTCCATGACTCTCCATACGAGTGGTCAAAGTCAAGTGACCCACTGCTTGTTTCTGTCACAGGTGAGGAAAGCCCATGGCTGTCCCATGTCCTATGATCCTAGAGCCTTAGCTGAGGAGCTTCCTGCTGAGGATGGAGAGAAGCATGGACAGATGCAGAGAGAAGACGCAGCCTCGGTGTGAGGGAGGGATCAGGGCACAGGATGGCCGACAGGGCACCTCCAAACCCTCCTACATGGCCTGCATGGAGGCCCACGGCCAGGGCTCCAGGCACCCAGGCAGATGGAGAAAGCGGTCAGGAGAGACCCAGAGGAGGGAGACTGGGCTCAGTTTGGGGAGATCAGAGGTTCCCTCAGCCCCTCAACCTTACCCATTTCCCAGAAGCCCATCCTGGCCTCTCACCCACACAGAGATGTCATCACCAGCAACCCCTACACCCTTTACTTTTCTTTGAAGAAATATTTATTGAGGATAAATATACCTATATAGCTTACCACTTTTAACATTTTTTTTTGAGGTGGAGTCTAGCTCTGTCCCCTATGATGGAGTGCAGTGGCACAATCTCAGCTCACTGCAACCTCCGCCTCCTGGGTTCAAGCGATTCTCCTGCCTCAGCCACCTGAGTAGCTAGTGCTACAGGCACGCACCACCACGCCAGGCTACTTTTTGTATTTTTAGTAGAGAGGTGGTTTCACCATGTTGGTCGAGCTGGTCTCGAACTCCTGACCACGTGATCCACCCGCATCAGCCTCCCAAAGTGCTGGGATTACAGGCATGGGCCACCAGGCCCAGCCACATTTACCATTTTTAAGTGTAAAGTCTAGTGGTCATAAATACATTTTTATATATATATATATATACATTTTTTTTACCCTCCACCCTTTTCTTCCTGTCCTCCAGTAGCCACCATTCTACTCTCTACCTTCATGAGATCCACCTTTTAGCTCCTGTATATGGGTGAGAAATGGGAATCTTTTTAATGACCTCCAGTTCCATCCATGTGGCTGCAAATGACAGGATGTTATTCTTTCTATGGATGAGTAGTCTCCACTGTGCGTATGTACTACATTCTCTCTATCCATTCACCCACTGATGGGCAGGTAGGTTGACTCCTCATCTTGGCTACTGTGAACAGTGCTGCACCAATCATACGAGTGCAGATATCACTTCGATATGTTGATTTACTTTCCTTTGGATATAAACCCAGTAGTGAAATTGCTGGATACTATGAAAGTTCTCTTTTTTTTTTTTTTTTTTCTTTTTTGAGAAAGAGTTTCCCTCCTTAGCCCAAGCTGGAGTCAAAGTGGTGCAACCTTGGCTCATTGCAACCTCCGCCTCCTGGGTTCAAATGATTTTCCTGCCTCAGCCTCCCTAGTAGCTGGGATTACAGGTGCACACCACCATGCCTGGCTACTTTTTGGTTTTTTTAGTATAGATGCGGTTTCCCCATGTTGGCTGGGCTGCTCTCAAACTCATGACCTCAACTGAGGTGCCCGCCTCAGTCTCCCAAAGTGCCGGGATTACAGGCATGATCCACCTCACCCAACCTCTTTTTAGTTCTTTAAAGGACTTCCATACTTTTCTCCGTAATGGCTGTACTAATTTACACTCCTCCCAACAGGGTACCAGGGTTCTCCTTTCTCTACCACCTTGCCAGCATTTCTTTTGCCTGTCTTGCAGCTAAAAGCCATTTTATTTTATTTCATTTTATTTTGAGATGGAGTTTTGCTCTTCTCACCCAGGCTGGAGTGCAGTGGCGCTATCTCGGCTCACCACAACCTCCACCTCCCAGGTTCAAGCGATTCTCCTGCCTCAGCCTCCCGAGTAGCTGGAATTACAGGCACACGCCACCACGCCCTACTAATTTTTGTATTTTTAGTAGAGACAGCGTTTCTCTATGTGGGTCAGACTGGTCTCAAACTCCCAACCTTATGAGATTCACCCACCTCAGGTTCTCAAAGTTCTAGGATGACACAAGTGAGCCACCTCACCCGGCCTAAAAGCCATTTTAATGGGGTGAGATGAAAACTCACTTTGATTTTAATTTGCGTTTCTCTGATGATGAGTGATACTGAGCACTTTTTCGTATGTGGGGAAATTTCATGTCTTTTGCTCCTTTTTCAATTAAATCATTTGTTTTATTGAGTTGTTTGAGCTTCTTATATTTCTAGTTATTAATCCCATCTCAGATGCATAGTTTGCACATATTTGCTCCCAATCTGTGGGTTGTCTCTTCACTTTGTTGGTTTATTTTTAGCAGTGCTGAAGTTGCTTAGTTTGAGGTAATCCCAATGGTCTATTTTTGCTTCGATTACTTGTGTTTTGAAGGTTTAAAACAAAATGTCTTCCTTCAGACAAACGTCCTGGAGCATTTCCCCAATATTTTGTTCTACGTGTTTCATAGGTTCAGGCCTTAGACTCACATCTTTAATCCATTTTCATTTGATTTTTGTGTATGGTGACAGGTAGAGTTGCAGTTTCATTCCTCTGCATGTAGATGTCCAGGTTTCCCTGCACTGTTTATTGAAAAGACTGTCCTTTCCTGATTGTGAGTTCTTGGCATCTTTGTCAAAGTCCATTGGATGGGCTGGGCTTGGTGGCTAACACCTGCAATTTCAGCACTTTGGGAGCCCGAGGTGGGTGGATCACCTGAGGCCAGGAGTTCAAGATTAGTCTGGCCAACGTGATGAAACATCGTCTCCACTAAAAATATAAAAATTAGCTGAGCATGGTGGTCAGCACCTGTAATACCACTACTCAGGAATTTGAGGCAAGAGAATGATTGAACCCAGGAGGCTGAGGTTGCAGTGAACCGAGATTGCACCTCTGCACTCCAGCCTGAGTGACAGAGCAAGACTCCATCTCAAAAGAAAAAATAAAAAACCATTGGATGTAAATGCATGGAATATATCTGTGTTATTCATTCTGCTCCGTTGTTCTATGTGCCTTTCTTTATGCCAATGTCATGCTATTTTGCTTACTACAGCTCTGTAACATATTTTGAGATCAGGTAGTGTGATGCTCCTGTTTTCTCTTTATATCTTGAAGTCTCAAGACAGTGGGTGTCATATAAAAAAATTATGGAAAAAAGGATCCCAGGACTCCCAGGGCCCAATATTAGATAAGAGAGTGTTGGCCATGAACCATCCTCAAAGATTTCCACTGAGTGGAGGACAGACACCCTCATTTCCTCACCTCTCTCCTGTCTCATGTTCTAGGAAACCCTTCAAATAGTTGGCCTTCACCCACTGAACCAAGCTCCAAAACCGGTGAGTACAGAACCCTCTTATATCCGCTTTTGGAACCCTGGGGAGGTGGGAACCTTGGATTCAGGCGTTGACTCAGCATCTCACAGCTCTGACATTGTACACTTGTCTTCCACCATCTCCGAACTCCAGATACTCCTACAGCGAAAGGGATCTGGGCCCAACACAGGGCTCAGTGAAATCTCTTCATCTCTCATTTTATGGAGCTGAGACCTCCTACAAGCTAGAAGAATGATTGCCAATCTGACATCCTTCTCAGGAAAAATGCAATGTTTGTTCTACCTGCATTCCTAACTGGAGGATAAATTCCTGGAGACTTGAGAGAGGGAAGGGAAGGGAACATCTGATGAGGGCAAGGTGTTTTAGAGAAGTTCCACTTGCCAAGGAATGAGCTCCTGTAGGTCATGAAGCAACCCTGGCTGACTCCGCAGAGAAAGAGCCTTGCCGTAACAGAGAACAGAGCTCATGCACGCACACTTCGACTCACTGACTCATTCAGCCACGGCCCCATGCTCAGGCTGTGCAGTGTGGAACCTTTTCCTATTGTTGCCATAACAAATTTCCACAAGATTCGTGGGTGAAAACAAAACGGTTTTTTAATTATCTTACAGTGCTGTAGCTCAAAGTAGGAAGTGCATCTTACTGGGCTAAAATCAAGGTGACAGCAAGGCTGCCTTCCCTCTGAGGATTCCAGGCACGAATCTGCTTCTCACTTGTCCCAGCTTCTAAAGGCTCCCAGTTCCTTGGCTCCTGGTCCCCTTCCTCCTTCCTCAAAGCCCACAAAGACTGGTCACATCTCACATGGCATCACTCAGTGCCTTCTTCCTTACCACACCTCTTTCTCTGAGTGCTGCTCTCCCTTCTTCCTCATCTTTTGAAAACTTGGGGATTCTATTGGGTTCACCAAGATGAAAATCCCTCATAATCTCCTGGAAATCATCCAGGATACCCTTGTTTTAAGTTCAGCTGATTAGCAACCATAATTCCATCTGCAATCTTCATTCCTCCTTTCCATGTAAAATAACATATTCACAAGCTGTGGAGGCTAGGACAGGGACATTTTGGGGTGGGACAGCATTCTCCTGCCTTCCACAAACAGTGAACAAGATGCATTTGGCCTCTGCCCTTGGGACACTGATATTGCAGATGGTTAAATGGGAGGGCAGAAAATGAACGCACAAGTGGATCTATAAATGAATGGTCCATTGGGAAGCATCTGTGCATGAAATCTATTTTTTGTTTGTTCTTTTGTTTATTGAGACAGAGTCGCCCTCTGTCTTCCAGGCTACAGTGCAGTGTCACGATCTTGGCTCACTGCAACCTGCGTCTCCTGGATTCAAGGGATTCTCCTGCCTCCGCCTCTCGAGTAGCTGGGATTACAGGCAACTGCCACCGTGCCCGGCTAATTCTTTTTGTATATTTTTTGTAGAGAGGATGTTTCACCACGTTGGCCAAGCTTGTCTGAAACTCCCAACCTCAAGTGATCCGACCGTCTCAGCATGCCAAAGTAATGGGACTACAGGCGTGAGCCACTGTGCCCAGCCAGAATTCAAAATCAATAATAGATAATGCTGAGTGTATGATTTCAGGTGACAAAGAAGGTCTCACTATTCAGATATTTGTGACATTAATGAAAAACACGGAATGAACCCCTGAAAGATTGGCGGAAGGATTTTGCACACACAGCTGTCAGCCATGAAGGCACAAAGGTGAAAACAATCTGATGTGGAAGGAAGAGGCTCTGACTCAAATGCTGGGAATGAGGTGGGGAGAATGACAAGACGACTGTAGAGAGACGGAGAGCACACTGGGTACACAGGAAACTAAGGAGGAACAAGGAGTGTGTGCTTGACACTCACAGCCATTGGATTCACCTCGGGGTAACCAGGAATCCCTACATGATTAATATGACTGACATGAAAATAAGGGAGGCCCAGGTGCATAACTGGAATCTAGGAGACCGTGGAAAAGGCAATTGCCGCCCCACTGGTGAAATGTGGTGCTGATTTAGACACTAAATGAATGAAGTAGATGGATATAAGATATGTTTGTGAGGTAGAATCATTGACTGGAAAGGCTTACTGGGTTTGATTTTCCTACTTGTTTAATCCTCACTTAATTAATTTCTTTCTGAGATTTATTCATCCTACACATAAATCAATACCTGGCAAAGGAGTGACAGATATATGAGTGGTGGTGGAAATGAAGAGACTTATTATAGCATAATATACAAGTCTGTGAACAGTGGCTCACACCTGTAACCTAGCACTGCAGGAGGCCAAGGTGGGTGGATTCCATGAAGTCAGGAGTTCCAGACCAGCCTGGCCAACGTGGTGAAACCCTATCTCTACTAAAAATACAAAAATTAGCCGAGCACGATGGTGCATCCCTGTAATCCCAGCTCCTATTCTGGAGGATGAAGCAGGAGAATGACTTCAACCCAGTAGGTGGAGGTTGCAGTGAGTGGAGATTGCATCACTGCACTCCAGCCTGGGGGACACAAGGAGACTCTATCTCAAAAAATAAAAATAAGAAATACATAAATATAATAAAACACACACGAATGACAAAGGCACCTGAATTCCAATCATGATTTTTCTATTTCTCTATAATTACTTCTTTGATCCTTTATCTTATCCATTAGGCAATGAGCCTAAAACCTCTTCCCTATTTGGCTTTCTGTGAGCATGAGATCATATAGAAAATGTGAAAGCCCGCTGAATCCTCCAGCACAGATCCTGGAATAGAGAAAGTGCTCTGGTCATCACAAAAAAAACTTGCCCACTCACCCAAATCCCCCACCTCACCCCTACTTCCAATCACCTGTGGAGATTCAGATAGACCATGGGGAGGTAAACATTAACACTCCTTGGAGTGAGTCCAGATCTTGGAATCAGAGATCAGCGACAGCACTAGCTCCTGCTCCCCTTTCCTACTAATTCACAGGAGGACAGGTGGTTTTGAAGCAATAGATGGCCGAGGGGGTGGTCCTTCCCCCAGCCTCTCGGGTAGAACAGCAGCCTAATATGTGTCTCCCGAGATCACAAAGAGCAGCAGGTTTCACACGGGCTTCAACACTATTTCCTGGCCGTTTGACATAAGAGAATTCTATTTCGCTTTTTTTATCTTGATTTCACTTTTGTTTTCTTTCCTTGGAGAATGCAAGTTGTTTGATTCAAGAATGCTGTGGATGTAGAAACCCTAAAGCACATTCGCTGTGAATCAATCCCAGTCCAGTCTTCCCAGAGAAGACTCTAAACACCTCCTGGACTGCACCTGGGCCTATGCCAATTCCTATCACTCACCGTCACTCCAGGGAGACAGAACACACAGAGAATACGTTACATAGGCAGGTTCATTACTAACAGATAAGCAGCGAGTGACAACAGAAACCTATATTTCAATGTGACCCAGTCCCTCAAGGCTCAGAAAAGCTGCTCGGGACATATGGAGTCACCCCATTTGCAGTGTAGCTGGGGGAAGCCAGAAAGCAGCCCAGCCTGGGTTTTGTACCCTGGAGCCACAGGAAGCACTCAGCTAAAGCACTGCATGACGTCCTCCAGGAAGAACAGGAAGACAGCCCAGGGTGTTCTGAGACGTTCCTCCTGATCTCAGGAAGTTGCTGTCTTAGGCCATTTTTGTTGCTCTAAAGGAACACTTGAGCCTCGGTAACTTCTAAAGAAAAGAGATTGGTTTGCCTCACCGTTCTGCAGGCTGTACTGGAAGCATGGCACCAGCATCTATTTCTCGTGACGGCCTCAGGCTGCTCCCACTCTGGCAGAAGGGAAGGAGGGTCTGTCTGTGCAGAGACCACAGAGATCACACGGCAAGAGAGGGAGCAAGGGGGAGGGGGAGTGATGGAGCTTCCAAGCTCTTTTTAACAACCAGCTCTCCGGGAACTAATAGAGGGGGAACTTGCTAACCCCGTCTCCTTGGGACAGCATTGATGTGTTCATGATGGATCCACCTCCATGACCCAAACACCTCTCAAGAGGCCCAACCTCCCACAGTGGGGGTGAAATTTCAATGTGAGGTTTGAAGGGGTCAAACATCTCAACTAAAGTAGTCGTATCCTCAGCACGTTCTATGGTTACTATGAGAGCTATAACTGAAAAAGCAGGAGAAAGCTGGGTCTCCTGCCATCTGGGTGCTTGTCCTAAAGAGGTGTTTTATGTGGTTACCTGTCAATCAAGAAATGCGAGACAATTCATAAAGAGGAACTGCTAAGATTAGCTTCTTATTGGTGTCTCATCTTCTTCCAGGTAACCCCCGACACCTGCACATTCTGATTGGGACCTCAGTGGTCATCATCCTCTTCATCCTCCTCTTCTTTCTCCTTCATCGCTGGTGCTCCAACAAAAAAAGTAAGTCTCACGAAGCAGAGGCCAGAGAGCTCAGGGCCATGTGGGGAAGCAGGATGGGAGCACTCAGGTGTGTGTTCCTCACAAACAGGATGGTCCCTGGCCCAAGGCAGCAGCCACAGAGGCAGGACTTTCTAGAGAGGGCACCAGACTCCCTGTCCCTGCCTTCAACTCACAGACCGTTGCCTGATTCTGAACTGTATCCTCATGTCCCCTGCAGCCACTCACATCCAGGAGAAGGTTCCATGACAGGCAGAAAGTGGGAGACAGAATCAATGGGATGGGAACTCAGAGCTATTCATGGGATGGGTCCTTGAGCTCAGAGAGATAGAATGTCTGAGTCTGCTGTTGGCAACTGAGGGACCTCAGCCACCTATGGTCTCCCCCTGTATGTTGGTATCTGCTTATGAAATGAGGACCCAGAAGTGCCCTCCGAGCTGTTTTGTTGACTTCCGTCTTCTACAGATGCTGCGGTAATGGACCAAGAGTCTGCAGGAAACAGAACAGCGAATAGCGAGGTAGGTACTCCTCGGCCCGGGCTCGTGGCTACTGTTATTCCCAAAGAGTCCTGGAAAATGTGAGCACCCTCCCTCACTCAGCATTTCCCTCTCTCCAGGACTCTGATGAACAAGACCCTCAGGAGGTGACATACACACAGTTGAATCACTGCGTTTTCACACAGAGAAAAATCACTCGCCCTTCTCAGAGGCCCAAGACACCCCCAACAGATATCATCGTGTACACGGAACTTCCAAATGCTGAGTCCAGATCCAAAGTTGTCTCCTGCCCATGAGCACCACAGTCAGGCCTTGAGGGCGTCTTCTAGGGAGACAACAGCCCTGTCTCAAAACCGGGTTGCCAGCTCCCATGTACCAGCAGCTGGAATCTGAAGGCATGAGTCTGCATCTTAGGGCATCGATCTTCCTCACACCACAAATCTGAATGTGCCTCTCACTTGCTTACAAATGTCTAAGGTCCCCACTGCCTGCTGGAGAAAAAACACACTCCTTTGCTTAGCCCACAGTTCTCCATTTCACTTGACCCCTGCCCACCTCTCCAACCTAACTGGCTTACTTCCTAGTCTACTTGAGGCTGCAATCACACTGAGGAACTCACAATTCCAAACATACAAGAGGCTCCCTCTTAACGCAGCACTTAGACACGTGTTGTTCCACCTTCCCTCATGCTGTTCCACCTCCCCTCAGACTAGCTTTCAGTCTTCTGTCAGCAGTAAAACTTATATATTTTTTAAAATAACTTCAATGTAGTTTTCCATCCTTCAAATAAACATGTCTGCCCCCATGGTTTCGGTAATGGGACTCTTTTCTTGCCTAAGGCTTCCGGTGTTATCAGTACCATGTCCATATAATCCCATCTGTTCCCCACTGAGTTCTCATCCCCGGACTCTGAGTTTCTGGAAGCAGGGTGGAGCCTCATTTGTCTCTGGGACTCCAATTTCCATCCAAAGATGTAGCACATAGGAGGTTCCAAGGATCACGAATCATATGAACAAGTGATACTCTTACTCTCTGCAGACCTGGAAAGCTGGCAGAGTCATTCCACAATGAAACATTTGTAGAATCATAGGCCTTGTTAGTCTCATCTCCATGGGGACACATATCAACACATCATCTTTCATAATATAAATATACGGTCACTCCTCCATATCTGCGGGGTTTACAGGTGTTTATTGAACCAAGTATAAATCAAAAATATTGAGAGAAAGTATCCACAGAGTTTCAAAAAGCATAACTATGTTGAATGGACACAAATGAAGCTGTGTGTAGGCTGTATCAGGAATTATAAGTAATCTAGAGATGATTTCATGTATACAGGAGGATGTGCATAGGTTATTTGCAAACGCTGTGCCATTTCATATAAGAGGCTTGAGCATCTACAGATTTTGGTATCTGAGTGGAGATCTCAAAACCAATCACCCACGAATAGTGAAGGATGACCGTATATGACTTTTATTTCTCAAATTTAAATATAAATCATAAAAAATGTACAACTAGATAAAAACTAAGAAGTGTTTTTATAGTGTGAGTTAGATTTATTTTTTCCTAGGTGTAACCAATTGGTTTAATATTATTTATTGAGAAGACATTCTATGCCACCTTAAACCACACGGCAGCCTTTGTCAACTCTAAAGGGACTGTGTGTACATGGATGTATTTTAGACACTGTTTCTGCTAAGGGGCTCTCTGTGTCCACACTCTTGATGATGCTGCACTTTATGTAGCCTTATAGAACCCTTTAAATTTAGTAGCCAGAGCCCTCTAATTTGTTATTATAGGCTGTTTGCTTTTTTTTTCTTGAGGCGGAGTCTTGCTCTGTCGCCCAGGCTGGACTGCAGTGGCACAATCTCAGCTCACTGCAACCTCCGCCTCCCAGGTTCAAGCGATTCTCGTGCCTCAGCCTCTTGAGTAGCTGGCGTTACAGGTGCCTGCCACCAGGCACGGCTAATTTTTGGATTTTTAACAGAGACACGGTTTCACTATATTGGCCAGGCTGCTCTCAAACTCCTTATCTCAGTTGATCCGCCCACCTCGGCTTCCCAACGTGCTGGGGAAAACTTGATTTTCTATAGCATTATGTTACTGGATATTTCTGTAAAATTTAAAACGAGGGAGGGAGAGAGACAGACAGAGAGCAAACTCCAGAGTTGGGACTCTGGAATCTTGGGTCATGAGACAAATTTTAGATTAAACTACAAAACTCCAGAATTTACAGGTGTGGTTTTTGCTGATAAAGTACAATTCTAAGATTGTAAATAATTGCATAATCCTTCCCTGGGAATTTAAATCATTTTAGCTGGTTCTGCTGTAATACTAGAAATACAAGCATGAAAAATTCTAATGGTTTATTAGTCACAATGACTCCGAAAACATTAATAATACCTATTAGATACTTTGCATATTACACAGGAAGAAGAGTTTGAATCTCAGATAAAAACAAAAAAAATACATGAAAAGTCTTTCATGTTAGCACAGATTTTAGGCATCTCGTGTTCGGATAAAAATACATGAAAAGTCTTTCACGTTAGCACAGATTTTAGGCATCTTGTGTTCGGGAGGTTGGATCTGAGACGTGTTGTGAGTTGGTCATAGTGAAGGACGTGAGGTGCCAATTCTAGTGAGAACAATTTCCAGGAAGCCGTGTTCCGCTCTTGAGCAAGCATCCACTGGGCCTCATGCAAGGTAGAAAGAGCCTGCGTACGTCACCCTCCCATGATGTAGTCAACATGTAAGCTGCATGGGCAGGGCGCCAAATAACATCCTGTGCGCTGCTGAGCTGAGCTGGGGCGCGGCCGCCTGTCTGCACCGGCAGCACCATGTCGCTCATGGTCGTCAGCATGGCGTGTGTTGGTGAGTCCTGGAAAGGAATAGAGGGAGGGAGTGCCACATCCTCCTCTCTAAGGTGGCGCCTCCTTCTCCCCCAGGTGGTCAGGACAAGCCCTTCCTCTCTGCCTGGCCCAGCCCTGTGGTGTCTGAAGGAGAACATGTGGCTCTTCAGTGTCGCTCTCGTCTTGGGTTTAACGAATTCAGTCTGTCCAAAGAAGACGGGATGCCTGTCCCTGAGCTCTACAACAGAGTATTCCGAAACACCGTTTTCATAGGCCCTGTGACCCCAGCACATGCAGGGACCTACAGATGTCGGGGTTCACACCCACACTTCCTCACTGGGTGGTCAGCACCCAGCAACCCCCTGGTGATCATGGTCACAGGTCAGAGGGCTCCTGTCTGGGATTCTCCTTGTCCCACCTCCTGAGTCCCAGAGCTTCTGGTGGGAGTGTCCACCAGCGTCCCATCATCCAGACCCTAACTGTATTTGGGGTAAAAGGGGATTGAATACAGGGAAATGGGTGCTGTGGTGGAAAGAATAATTGTCCCCAATGATGACTGCATTCTAATCCCTGCAGTCTGTGACTATTTATGTTATAGGGGAAGGCACTGAAGGGGAAGATGGAGCTCAGGTTGTTGAGTTGACCTTGAGATGGGGAGACAGCCTGGACTGTCCTGCTGGGCTCAGTGTAATCACAAGGGTGCACATGAGAGGAGAAGGAAGAGGGGAGTGGCGATTAGAGCAGTGCAATGGAAGTCTCCATCAGCTTTGAAGGTGGAGGAAGGCCATGAGCCATGAATGCAGGTGGCCTATAGAGGCTGGAAAAGTCAAGGAACTGATTCTCCTGGGTCTCCAGAGGGAACGCAGCCCTGCAGATGCCTTGATTTTAGCCCTCAAAAAACAGGGTCCGATTTCTGTCTCCAGAAACGGAAGGGGTCAGTGTGCTCTCTCCTGCTGCCATGCTTCTGATAATTTTCCACAGCACCAACAGGAAACCAACACTGGAACCCAGGTCAAGGACAAGATAAGAAAGGACACAAGGATAGCCGGGCGTGGTGGCAGGTGCATGTAATCCTAGCAACTCAGGAGGCTGAGGGCAGGAGAATCACTTGAACCCAGGAGACAGAGGTTGCAGTGAGCCTAGACCACACCACTTCACTCCAGCCTGGGTGAAGGAGTGAGACTCTGACTCCAAAATTAATTAATTAATTAAAGAAACCAAACAAAGAGAAGGTTGGCTACACCGAGATCAGCAAGGGTGGGATGATGATGCCACCACCAGGCTCCATCCACATAGGGAGGGGTTGATACTCCTCAAACCAGCACCAGAAGCCAGCCTATGGAAGCTGGCACCATGGAGAAGGCACAGGCATGGCAAGAGTGGCTCCCAGTCCCCACCAGGAACAGGGTGTGTGGACACTGGTGCCTGCCTTACTGATCAGTTCATACCTTCTGCCAAGGATTCCAAATCGTCCAAAAGAGATTGAACCAGTCTGCTAAGAGCCTGGACGTGCAGCCTATCCTGGTTCCTCTTCCACCCCCACATAGAAGCAGGAAAGACATTAGTTCGAAATAGATACAACAGCCCAAGAGATGAGGCTGAGCCCAGCGGCAAGGGAATCAGGAGCTACTAGAGACAGAGGGACAGAGAAGAGGGAGGGAGACAGATGGAAGGACCTGTACCAGGAGTTATGGGCACAGAAAAGAACATGAAGACACAGAGAGGAAGGAGAGAGATAAGACACCAGCGAGGGGAAGCCTCACTCATTCTAGGTGCCATGGATGGGATGATAAAGAGAGATGCCTTCTAAAGTCACAACCTCTCTTCCTAGGAGTCCACAGAAAACCTTCCCTCCTGGCCCACCCAGGTCCCCTGGTGAAATCAGAAGAGACAGTCATCCTGCAATGTTGGTCAGATGTCATGTTTGAGCACTTCCTTCTGCACAGAGAGGGGACGTTTAATGACACTTTGCGCCTCACTGGAGAGCTCCATGATGGGGTCTCCAAGGCCAACTTCTCCATCGGTCGCATGACGCAAGACCTTGCAGGGACCTACAGATGCTACGGTTCTGTTCCTCATTCCCCCTATCAGTTGTCAGCTCCCAGTGACCCTCTGGACATCGTGATTACAGGTGAGAGTGTCTGGACATTATTCTCATTGTCACTGGGACACAGAGTGAATGATCCACGACTTGGAGGCCCAGGTGGTTATAAGGAAGATGAGCTTGGTATTCTTATGGAGAGAGACTAACTTGGTGAGGTCTGTACCAACAGAGACAGAGAAACAGGAGACACAAGTACAGACCAGGTGTCATAACAGAGGACAGACACAGGGGCCATACAGGGAGTTAGAAAAGACAGAAAGAGTTAAAGGAGACACAGACAGACATGTGCCAGAGAGAGGTGTCCTTCCATGCTGACTTTGCTCAGAGACCTGGCACAGGTTAGAAGTTTCATTTCTGTTTTACTTCCACAAAGTGTTCTCTACCAGAAGAACCCAAGGACACCCATATTTCTGGCCTGAGTTGGGCCCTGTGGCCTCAGGCCTTCTGGCACCTACAGATGCCGTGTTTATTCTGACACCTCTGCCTTCCATGCAATGGAGAGTAATCGTCCCAGGATATCATGGCCCCAGAACATCAACCCCTGTATACTGTGTGAACTTGCGGTCCCCAGACTGGATTCTGAGGCTCACATTCCAAATAACCCCACATATGAGAGGATCACTGAGAGACACAGAGAGAAATCAGGGACACCAAAAAGCAAAGACATAAACACACAGAGAATGAGCCAGAGGAAGGAGATTGAGAGACTCACAGACACATAAAGAGGGAGAAAAGAGGGCAGAGAAGTGGAGAGAACAATGGAAGGGAACAGAGAAAAGCACTAAAATTAGAGTCCTGAGGGAGAGACACAAGGACATAGAAAGATGGAGATGTGGGGATGAATTGCAGAGATTCCAAAGAGAACTAGAGAGACCGAGAGGCAGAGCAAGACAGATGATAGATGGATAGATATAGATAGATGATAAATAGGTAGATGATAGATAATAGGTTAAAGATACATAGATGATGATTGATTCATTCATTGATTAATCGATGATACATAGAGATGATGAAGATGAAGATAGATAGATAATACATAGAGATAGAGAGGCAGACAAAGAGAAATCATAGAGAGAGAGAGACGATACATAGATATAGATAATAGATGATTTTTGGATAGACAATTGATAGATAAATAGATTATATATAGATATAGATGACAGGTAGAGAATTTGTAGATAGGCACCAAATAGATAAATAGATATATCGATAGATAATAGATAGAAATATGCAGAAAGTTATGAACAGGACACAAAGTGAGAAACTCAGAATTTAAAAAAAGTAACATCAAGTCAACTAGTCCAAGGAGAGTCAGAGAGAATAAAACAATCCAAAAAGGGAAAACATATCTAGAGGTGAGAAAGTGAGGTCAGAGACCTAGAGAGACAGAGAAGGTGGAAAGAGGAAATAGACATAAAGAGAGATGGTGTGGAGGGTGAGACAGAGAGAGAGAGCATTAGGCCATAGAGCAGGGGAGTGAGTTCTCAGCTCAGGTGGGAGGGGAGTTGTGACAAGGAAGAACCTCCCTGAGGAAACTGCCTCTTCTCCTTCCAGGTCTATGTGGGAAACCTTCTCTCTCAGCCCAGCCGCGCCCCATGGTTAAGGCAGGAGAGAGCGTGACCTTGTCCTGCAGCTCCCGGAGCTCCTATGACATCTACCATCTATCAAGGGACGGGGAGGCTCATGAACTTAGGCTCCCTGCAGTGCCCAAGGTCAATGGAACCTTCCAGGCCAACTTTCCTCTGGGCCCTGCCACCCACGGAGGGACCTACAGATGCTTCGGCTCTTTCCGTGACTCTCCCTACGAGTGGTCAGACCTTAGTGACCCACTGCTTGTTTCTGTCACAGGTGAGGAAACCAGTCTGTTCCCCAAATAGTGGGACTCAGATGGACTACAATGGCCACATTCAGGGGAGCCTCAGATGGAGGGGGTGGCCATGGGGGTGTCAGCCAGAGATGCTGGACAGAAGAGACACAAAGCAAACATACAGAAAGAGGCATAGACAGACAGACAGAGCGAGGCAGACAGATCACATTAGGGTTTGGGGTGGTAACTGCAACCCTACCTGAAGCTTGCAGATAGAGCACAGGCCACATAAACCACTTCCCAGTCTTTGTACAGAAGCCCACCTGGGACACATGTAAACAGCATCAATGCTGACTCAGGAGCATGAAAGGCCGGGCTCAGATTGGAAAGACTAGAGGTAGCATTGGCCGCCCGCCATTGCCCATTTCCAGAAGCCCCCACCTCTCACCAAAGAGTGATTTCCACATGGGGGGCACAGATGCAACCATCGTTGGGGGAGCCCCAATGTCTCTTGATGGGAGGCATTTTCCACCCTAGATGTTTTTTGCTCTCTCCACACCTTGGAGACTCAGTGGGGGAGTCTTCTCTGGGGACTCGGGGAGGGCCTCCCTGGGACTCGCAGGATTTCCAAGCTAGATGACAACATGACAGGTGGAAACAGGCCCATTCCTTCGCCAGGGGCCCCAAGCTCCATCCCAGGAGATGAGAAGAGGCTCTTCTCATTGGTCAGTGGATCCCTGAGGGGACAGAGGCTCAGCACTGAAGGCTGAGAAGGATCTGCCACTTCGCTCAGTGGCCTCAAGCCAGACATCTTCCCTACAGACTTGCAGTGATTCTCCATCAGCATTTAGGGCTGTGGCCACCAACCTGGGTGTTGGTCTGTAGGAACTTTTCATTTCTGACCTTCCATAACTGAGTTCTCTTCCTAAATGTGGAATGCCTTGTACTCCATGTTACTCTCTCCCCAGAAAGAATGTGTGGCTTGTCTGCTCTCCAGCCCTGTCATGGAGATTGATAATCCTTAGGGAGCAAGAGGAGAGGGAAAGAACAAAGTATGAGACCACCTAGGTGCTACTGGTTGAGGTTCCATTTGCCAGTGAAGGGACTTCACTCAGCCGAGGGGGCAACTCAGGGAAGTCAGCCGAGGGAGGGCATTAGAGTAGAGAGAACTGAGCTCACCCAGTAAATGACCCCTTCACTAACTCATTCATCTAATATTTATTTCACACCTACCATCAGTTCTCTCTGTTTCACGGCCAGGAGTAGACAGCACGGCCAAGCTCCTGGGTTCATGATGCTCACATTGCTGTGGGGTGGGAGAGAGAGGCAGAACATGAATGAATGAATGAGAGAATGAATGAATGAGTGAATGATGGAATGAGTGAATGAATGAATGAATGAATGTATGAATTAGTGAGTGAATCCTTAGCACTTGGTGAAAGTGCCATGCACAGAATGAAATGAATGAACGTGGAACGTTGTCATTTGGAGTGTACAGGAGGGAACGTCTCACTGAGACCTCATCAGAGAGATCACATTTAAACTCCGATCTTAGAGACAAGAGGGAGTGAGCCCTGGGGAGTGTGTTGAAAGGAACTTTCATGGACTTAGGACATTGGGGATGACCCTAATGTGAGAATGAGCTTGGTGTGTTCCAAGAAGTCCATGGACCTGCCATATGGTGAGGGCTGGTCAGAATCCAGAGAGATTTCTAAATGCCCTTGTGCTTGTAAGGAAAGTGAGTCCTGTGGTTGGGAGTGGACTTATACCTTGGGTCAGGTCCAGCAATTATCTTTCTAAATCCTCTCTAATTGCCTGAACCACTTCTATCAACAACTGAGAAAAGAGGAGTGTTAAACACCCCACTGTGGCCGTGGATTTGCCTACCTGTCCATTTATTTCCGCGACTCTTCCTCCATGTATATTTGCAGGAATATTACTGGGAGTGGTTAAGTGTAAACTGATTATATATTCCTGGTAAATTTAAAATGCTATAAATTTACCTGCTTTTTTCCTACATTTTATGCTTAATGTTTTCCGCTGATTTTTCCCAAAGACTAATTTTGTCTAATTTTAATATAGTTATACCACATTTCTAACAGTGATTGCTTGGTATATTTCTACATTGTTTAATTTCAAACTCCATGAATTGTTAACATTGAGATGTGTCCTTTGTAAATTTCAAACAATTCGCCTTAGAAAGTAAGACTTTCTGACAATCTTTTGTTCATGTTTGAGCAGTTCTTCCAATCATATTTTTGTTATTATTACGTTGTGTTTTCCTGATTCCCTTTTTTTCCCACTGACTTCTGTGGTTTTCTATTTCAAACATTCTATTTTTGATCTATGTCGTTTAGGAATACATATATGGTGTACTCATCCTGAAGTTGTTACATATTTTTAAAATTGAAATTAATCATTTCAGAGATTAAACTGCAAATATAAAAACATATTTCCACTCTTCCTGTGTAAGAACAGGATTTTAGAGCATATTTAGTACATATGTTTGTATTTACTTATATGATGTTTTGTTTTGTGGTATACATAATTCTATCTTTTTCAGAAATTACACAGGGGCGTGTTTTCATACACTATCGTATGGTCCATATTCATTTTTGGCATAGCCATATTTTTAGTTCTTCCTCTGCTCTTAGTTATTGTCAGAATCTTCGACACCCCATCTGGTTTCACTTTCTTTATCTTTGAGGCACGGTCATCAGAATTTCCTTTAGGGTCAGTGAGAAAAGCTTTCTTTGCCCTTTTGTCTTTCAGTTCTGTTTCTTTCCTGCGTTGATCTTGGACAGTAACTGTACTATGTAAGGAATTGTCGGTGGCTGGCGACGGTATCTTAGCTGGGTAAAGATGCTATTCTACTGGCTTATGTTTTCCTTTTTTCTGTGGGGAAGACAATGCTTGGCTCCCTATAAATCCTTACCAGCTGATCCTTTTCCTCTGGCTAATTTTAAGGGTTGGTTGTGCTTTTATGCTGCTTTTCTGTAATGTTGAACGTGAGGTGTGTTTACTTCATTCTGCCTGGCATTCACTGGATTTCTTGAACCTGTGGATTGATGGATGTGTCTACTTCCTCCAAATAATCAACAATTGCCTCTTTAAAGATTGCTTCTGACCTGTTTTCTCGTTCTTTCTTTTTGGAACTCAAGTTAGGAGCATTCTAAAACTGTTGTCAATTTTTACCCTGTCACAAAACTGCTCTTTCTTGTTTCAGTTATTTGCTTTTTCTGTGCATTAATATTGATGGTTTCCTCTGTCATAGAGGATAAATACTCTCTTCACTGTTGTGTACACAACATTTTAACTAGTTATTCTGGTTTAAATTTAATATTGACTTTATCTACATATCACAATTGATTACTGTGTACAGACTTTCTTTTCTATTAGTATAAATTTATGAGGTACACTTGTAATTTTGTGACATGAGTATGTTGCAGAGTAGTGAAGTCAGGACTTTTACTATATCCATCACCCAAATACCGTACATTGTACTCATTAAGCAAATTCTCATCACTCACCCACGTCCCGCCACCCTCCAGCCTTCTAGCCTCCGCTGTCCGTCATTCCACACTCTACGTCCATATGTACACATTACTCCCCTCCCATGTAGAGTGAGAAGATGTGGTATTTGTCTTTCTGAGTGGTTTTATGTAAAATAATGGCGTCCAGCTCCATCTATGTTGCTGCAAAAGACATGGTTTTATTTTTATGACCAAATAGTATTTCGTTGTGTATACACGCATCCTTTTTTTAATCCAATCATTCATTCACAGACACTTAGATTGATTTCATATCTTTGCTATTGCAAACAGTGCTGCAATAAACATACAGGTGCAGGTATTTTTTGAGTAGATACCCAGCAGCGGGACCCCTAGATCGAATGGTGCTTCTATTTTTGGTTCTCTGCCAAATTTCCATACTGTCTTCCATAGAGGCTATACTAATTTACATACCGGCCAACAGTGTATAAGAGTTTCCTTTTCTCTGCATCCTTGCCAACACCTGTTATATGTTTCACTTTTTCTTTTTTTCTTTTTGAGATGGAGTCTTCCACTGTCACCCAGGCTGGAGTGCAGTGCCGCCATCTCCACGCGCTGCAACCTCCACCAACCAGGTTCAAATGATTCTCCTGCCTCAGCCTCCTGAGTAGCTGGGATTACAGAACCACACCACCATGCCCAGCTAATCTTTTGTATATTTAGTAGAGATGGGGTTTCACTATGTTGGTCAGGCTGGTCTCAAACTCCTGACCTCATGATCCACCCGCCTCAGCTTCCCAAAGTGCTGGGATTACAAGCGTGAGCCACCACTCCCCACCAGCATTTTTAGTAATAGCCATTCTGACTACTGTAAGATGATATCTCATTGTGGTTTCAATTTGCATTTCTCTGATGATTAGTGATGTTCATACGCTGTTTGGCCATTCGTATGTCTTCTTTTGAAAAATGTCTATGTATATCCCTTTGCCCACTTTTTAATGCTATTATTTGAGGGGTTATGTTTAGTTGTTTGAGTTGCCTAGAAATTCTGGATGTTAGTCCTCTGTTGGGTGCATAGTTTGCAAACATTTCCATTCATTCTGTGGGTTGTCTGTTCACCCTGCTACTATTTCCTTTGCTTGGCAGAAGCTCTTTCGTTTATTAAGTCCCATTGGTCTAGTTTTATTTTTATTGCCTGTGCTTTTGAGGTCTTAGTGATGAATTCTTTGCCCAGACCAATGCCCAGAAGAGTTTCTCTTTGGGTTTCCACCGGTGATTTTATAGTTCTGGATTTACATTTAAGCTGCTAATTACCTTAAGTTAATTTATGTGTATGATTACAGATACAGGTCCAGTTTTATTCTTCTGCATATGGCTATTTAGTTTTCCCAGCACCTTTTATTGAAAAGGAAATCTTTCTCCAGTGTATGTTTTGTTAACGTCGTCAATGATTATTCACTGTAGATATGAGGCTGTATTTCTGGGCTCTCTATTCTGGTCTATTGATCTCTGTTTCTGTGTCTATACCAGCACTGTGCTATTTAAGTTACTATAGCCTTAGAGCATAGTTTGAAGTCAGATAGCGTGATGCCTCCAGGTTTCTACATTCACCTAGAATTGCTTTCTCTATTAGGATCTTTTTTGGTTCTGTATGAATTTTAGGATTGCTTTTTCTAATTCTGTGAAAACTGGTGTTACTATTTTCATATAAGAATTGCACTGAATCTGTAGATTGCTTTAGGCAGTATGGTCATTTTAACAATATTAATTCTTATGATCCATGAGCGTGGGATTTTTTTTCTTTTTTTTTTTTTTGTATTATCTATAATTGCTTTCATTGGTGTCTTACACCTTTCCTGGTACAGATCTTTCACCACCTTGGTTAAATGTATTCCTGAGTGTTTTAATTTTGCGTATCTATTGTAAACGGCATTGCCTTCTTGATTTGGTTCTCAGCTAGATCATTATAGGTGTAGAGAAATGCTACCGGCTTTTACATATTGATTTTGTATTCTGAAACTTTACTTAGTTCATTTATCAATCATAAGAATTTTTGGCAGGGTCTTTAGGATTTTCTAGATTTAAGATCATAGCATCAGAAATAAAAATAATTTTACTTCCTCTTTTCTAATTTGGATTTTTAATTCTTCCTGTTGCCCAATAGCTCTGACAAGGCTTCCAGTACTATGTTGATAGGAAGTGGTGGATGTCCGTGTCCTTGTCTTGTGCCAGTTCTCAGAGGAGTGCTTTTAACTTTTCCTGTTCAGTATGATGTTGACTCTAGATATGTCATCTATGGCTTTTATTATTTTGAGGTATGTTCTTTCTATGCCTAAGTTTTTGAGGGTTTTCATCAGGTAAGGATGTTGAATTTCTTTTCAGATGCTTTTCTTTATGTCTATTGAGATGATCATATGGTTTTTGTTCTGGATTCTGCTCGTTCTTCTAAGTGGATGAGACATGCCAGAAAAGCATTTAGTCAGCCATCTTGGAAACAAGCATCTCAGATGTTTTCTTTCTCTATAGCTCATTCTTTCTTACCAGTGTTTTCAATTTTGTACTTAATTTTGTAAAGAGAGTAAATGATATAATTTCCACATATGTTTCCTCTGCCAAATCAGACTCACTATGCTTCCTTTCCTTGTATACATAACCTACCCAGCAATACACACAAACATTTATTGCTTTGGAGAATTAGTTTGGGAACATTTTTGAAATGTACAAAAAAATGTATATCTTCAAAAGAAATTTCTTTTTGTGGCAAAAGACTTCTGAAGGTGCTCATGATGATATAGGGAGAAGAGGGGTTCTGGACAGGAAGAATTTTATGAAGGTGAGATGGGGAAATAGCTCCATTTCAGAGCTTCTGGGGAGAGAGGGGCCTGGCCCACATGGAAAGGTCTCTGATCTTACCCCCACCCTCCAGCCCCTGTTCTCCAGAACTATACTGTGGAGAGTTCCATCAGGATTGTTGTGGCTGGTCTGGTCTTCCTGGCTCTTTTGGCAATGCTGGCTAAGACCTGGTGGAGACATGAGGGGCCACAGGTGGAAATGGAAGAAACATGACTGAAGCTGGCTGGAGTGAATGGCGCGACATTCTGTCTGTGGGAGATTGGCCAGATGGGTTTCAAGTGTGTTGTATCAGCTGTGACTTTTAGTAATGTTCTTGCTACCACAATATCCACTCGTCCATCCCGAATAATTGTGATGAAATATTGTCCTTGGGATAATATTCATTTGCTAAAGACAGGGATGATACCTCAAGGTGCCACTATATACATCGAGGGGATCCACAAAAGTCCATTCAGTAAAATGTAGTTGGCATCTTAGGGTAGGTTGATTCCACCTCTAAAAAAGTAGGTACAACATCAGGTTGATTTTTCCGAAGAAAAGTGGTGATTGGCCATCTTTAGTCTCAATGTAAACGGTAATACTGATGAGTGTGGAAAAGGCAGGGAAGAGGATTGACAATAAGTGACACTCATTGTTTTCATCTGAGCTTTGAGACTGAAAGAGGAACACAGGAGTGAGATGTATGGGAACAAACCCCTTCTTTTTCCAGCTAAACAGAGTGGAAGTTGGACACTGAGTTTTGGCGTACAGCAAAATCCTAAGTCCATTGTTGGGTTGAACACGGCCATGTTGTACATCCTGGTTTCACAGCAGACACTGGAGGAAAACAGCCTGTATTCATAAGAGGCTGTCCCTCGGGTCACTGCCCAGAATATCCGGAGTTGGTGCTCACAGGGTTGGGAACTCTCCTGGACCAGACAGGCTCTGGATATGGGGGGGTACCAAGCTCCCCGGGGCCATGCCTCCACAGCTCTCTTCTCACCTCATTCTTGACCATTTCCCAAACCTCTGACCTCACCTTCATTCATCCATGGTGAACACGCTAAAGCTGGCCTTCAAAGCTTGAGACAGAGGAAAATTGGGCTTCATCTCTGGGAACTAAATTGGGGAGTGGAGACTCAGTTCTGGCCTGACAGGAGGGAGAAGACCCTGGATCCCAGTGTGGATGGGAAGAAGTATGTGTTTCTCTTTTGTGCTTGGACCCTGTGTCCAAGCATGTCTGAGATGTGATGAAGATGAATCTTCCTTTCCTTGTCTATTTTCTCATGCCAGAGAATTGGAATCTTATATTCCATTAACTCTTTCTGTTCTGTTCATCCAGATTCTATGAAGGAGAAAGGAAAAGATGTGATACTGTAATTTTGCTCCATTTGTCTAAAATGAGTAGGCTGCAACTCCTCTTGAAGTGATACCTTTTCTAGCTCTTGTTGGAGGTGTCTCAGGACTCATTACTTCGGGGAACCTGCAACTGTGTCAGTCTGGGGAAACTGCAAATATTCTTGTCTTACATTTGTCTCCAGCCAATTGTGATGGACTCCAGTGACCTGCAATTGCTGTTATTGCAGGTAAAATGTACCTGAGTCAGGCCACAGTTCTCCTGGACTATGAGCCCCTGGCCATGTTCCTGAGGCAATTCTGTTCATCTAAATATAATAATAATAACACACTAAAAATGGCAAGCCATTGTTAATTCCTGAAGTCTCATTTGAAAATTACTAAATGTCTGTTATTTTTTGGTGTTTACATTATATGTAGACAGATAAACTACACACACACACACACACACACACATGCACACAGAAGAATGGATTGTTTCATGTAGAAAAGTAAATAATTCAAGATGAAAGGATGAAATGTCATGGCACCTACTATTCTATTTTAGATAAAGGGTCTATGAAAAGATTGATTTCTTTTTATGTTTTATTTGTTGACATTTGAACACAAACTATGTAAGTGAGGGAGTCGATTTGAAAGGGAGAAGAGCAAGTTCAAACACATTCAGGTGAGGTCATGCTTTACATGTTTTAATTGAAATGATCCATCTTGGGAGTAGATCAATAACTGAGATGGTGCCAGGAATGTTAAAAAGCTTTTGTCAGTCCTAAATATTGACAAATAAAATTTAATTAAAGTCTTAGAAGAAAACACAAAGGAAAACTTCACAACATCGGATTTGGCAGTGATTCTTTAGATGTGACAACAACGGCACAGGCTACTACAGAAAAAATAAACAAGTTAGACTTTATGAAAATTTTGAAATATTGTGACTCAAAAGACAACATCAGTTACTTCACATGGCAAGGAAAAAGAACTTTTAAGACGATATTATCAAAGTAAAAAGACAACCCACAGAATGGGAGAAAATGTTTTCAAACCACACCACCTGTAAGGGATTAACATCCAGAATATACAGACAACTCCTAAAACTCAATCACAATAAACTCAATTCAAAAATGGGCAAAGTACTGAAACAGACATTTCTCCAAAGAACATACGCATGAAAAGATATTCAGCATCACGAATCATTAGGGAAATACTAACTAAAACTACACCAGATGCCATTTCATACCCCTTAGGATGGGTATCATCAAAACAACAACAACAACAACAACAAAGTTTCTATACATTAACAACAAACTATCCAAAAAAGTTTACAAGAAAATAAGCCCATTTGCAATAACTACAGAAAACAAAACATGCAGGAATAAATTCACCCAAGGAGTAGAAAGATCTGTATGCAAAAGCTATAAAACATTGATGAAAAAACTCAAGAAATAAACAAATAAATCGAAAGATATTCCATGTTCACGGATCAGAAGGATTAATGTTGTTAAAATGTCCATTCTATCCAAAGTGATTCAATGCAACCATTATCAAAAATCCAATGACATTTTTTTTACAGAAATAGAAAAAACAGTCCTAAAATTCATGTGGAACCACAAAAGATCTCAAATAACCAAAGCCATCTAGAGGGAAAGGAACAAAGTTGGAAGCATCACATTACCTAAACACAAACTACATTACAAAATTACAGTAATTAAAACAACACAGTACTTGCATAAAAACAGACACATAGACCAATGGAAGTGATTCATAGCCCAGGAAAAAAATGCATGCATTTAGGGTCAAACAATTTTTGGGATGTGTCAAGAACACACAATGGAGAAGGAACAGTCTCTTTAATAAATGGGATTGGGAGACTGCATGTCCACATGCAGAAGAATGGAAGTGGACATTTGCCTCACAAAACATACAAAGTCAACTCAAGATAGATTAATGACTTAAATGTAAGATGAAAGACTATAATCCCAGCAATTTGGGAGGCCAAGGTGGGCAGATCACCTAAGGTCAGGATTCCAAGACCAGCATGGCCAACATGGTGAAATCCCGCCTCTACTAAAAATACAAAAACAGCTGGGTGTGGTTGTGGGTGCCTGTAATCTCAGCTACTCGGGAGGTTGAGACAGGAGAATCACTTGAACCCAGGAGGTAGAGGTTGCAGTGAGCCGAGATCGCACCACTGCACTCCAGCCGGGGCAACACAGTGAGACTCCATCTTAAAAAAAAAAAAAAAACTACTAAAAGAAATCAAGGGAAAACTCCACTGGCTTGGGCAAAACCATTTTGGATATTAACCCAAAGGCCCAGGCAACAAAAGCAAAAGTAGACAAATAACATTATATCAAATTGAAAGTTTCTGCAAAGAAAAAAAAAACTCAACAAGTGGAAAGACAACCTATGGAATGGGAGAATATATTTGCACCCATACATCTAATAAGGAATTAATATCCAAAATATATAAGAAACTCAAACAACTCAATGGTAAGAAATCAAATAACCCAACTTAAAAAAATGGGCAAAGTATCTGAATAAACATTTCTAAGAATAAGACAAATCACCAAAAGGTATATGAAAAAATGATTAGCATTACTAAACATCAGCTAAATAAAAATTAAAACTAGAATGAGATATCACCTCACACCTCTTAGAATGACCATTAACAGTCTGGGCATGGTGGCTCATGCCTGTAATTCAGGCACTTTGGGAGGCCGAGGCAGGGAGATTACCTGAGGTCAGCAGTTCGAAACCAGCCTGGCCAATATGGTGAAACCCCATCCCTACTAAAAATACAAAAATTAGCAGAGTTTGGTGGCGCACACTTGTAGTCCCAGCTACTCTGGAGACTGAGGCAGGGGAATCGCTTGAACCCAGGAGGCAGAGGTTGCAGTACACCGAGATTGTGCCACTGCACTCCAGCCTGGGTGACAGAGCAAGACTGAGTCTCAAAAAAAAAAAAAAAAAAAAGACCATTATCAAAAACATAAAAAATAACAAGGGTTAACGAGGATGTGGAGAAAAGGGAACATTTGTATGCAGTTGATGGGAATGTAAATTAGCACAACCATTATGGAAAACAGTCTGGAAGTTCCTGAAAAAATTAAACATAGAATTCCCATATGTGTCTGCAATCCAACTACTGCGCATGTATCCAAAGGAAGTGGAATCAGTATGTTGAAGAGATATCTGCATTCCCATGTTTACAGCCGCATTATTCATAACAGCCAAGATGTGGAATCACCCTTACTGCCCATCTATGGGTGCATGGACAAAGAAAACGTGGTATACGATAGGAACGTAATGAAGTACTATACAACCTTTACAACAAAGAAGGAAGTCCTCTCATTTGTGACAATGTGAAAAAACTTAGAGGACATTATGTTAAGGGAAACAATCCAGGCACAGAAAGACAAATGCCACATGATCTCATGTGTGGAGTGTAAGAAGTGGAACCTAGAGGAACAGTAAAATGGTCGTCGAAAGAACCTGGGATGGAGAGAGATTGAAGAGATGTTGGTCAAAGGATGCAAAATTTCAGTTAGAAGAAATCGGTTCAAGAGATCTATTGTATGTCTTGGTGACTCCAGTTAATAGCAACATATGGTGTATTGAACATTACTAAGAGATTAGATTTTACATGTTCTCACCACACACACAAAACATACAAGTATGTGAAAAAATAAATATGATAAAGAGGTTGTTTCATCCATTCCACAATGTGTACCTATATGAAAACATCATGATGGACACCACAAATACCCTTTTCCTCATTAATTAAATTTGTTTTGGTTTTTTTTTTGAGATGCAGTTTCACTGTTGTTGCCCAAGCTGAGGTGCAATGGCGTGATCTCCGCTCACTGCAACCTCTGCCTCCCAGGTTCAAGCGGTTCTCCTGACTCAGCCTCCCAAGCAGCTGGGACTACAGTTGCGTACCACCCCGTCCGGCTATATTTGTGTTTCTAGTAGAGACAGGGTTTCGCCATGTTGGCCAGGCTGGTCTCGAACTCCAGACCTCAGGTGATCCACCCGCTTCGCCCTCCCAAAGTGCTAGATTTCAGGCTGAGACACCACACCCAGCCTGTACATTGACTTTCTGCCCTTAAACTGTGCTGAAGTTTGTTTCTCAGATGTAGGAGCCTTTGGGCAGAGACTATGGGGTTTCTAGGTATAGAAATTATCTCATCTTCAAACAGAGGTAATTTGACTACCTCTCTCTGCTACTCTCTTCTTACTTGGATGCCTTATAATTCTTTCTCTTTCCTGATGGCTCTGTCTAGGACTTCAAGTACTATGTTGAATAGGATGGTGAGAGTGGGCATTCTTGTCTTGTTTCACTTATGAAGGGAACTTCTTCCAGCTTTTACTCATTCAGTATGATGTTGGTTGTGGGTTTGTCACAGGCGGCTCTTATTATATTGAGTTATGTTTCTTCAATGCTTAGCTTGTTGAGGGCTTTTAACATGAAGAAATGCTTAGTAAAAAGTATGTTCTACATGTGTGTTGAGAAGATCATGTGGTTTTTGTTTTTAGTTTTGTTTAGGTGATGAATCACATGTATTGATTGTGTATGTTCAACCAACCTTGCACCCTAAGAATAAAGTTGACTTGATCATGGTGGATTCACTTTTTGATATGCTGCGGGATTCAGTTCTTAGTATTTTTTGTGGATTTTTGCCTCTATGTTCATCAGGAATATTGGCATGTAGTTTTCTTTTGTTTAATGTTCTTTTCTGTCTTTAGTATCAGGGTGATGCCAGCCTTATAGAATGAGTAAAGGCCACCCTGGGCAAACAGTGAGACCCATCCCTTTTTAAAAATTATGAGTTTTACAAATTTAAAATGCATAGTGAAAAAGTTCTTACAAACTCCAGAAAGATAGGTGTAAATAAGAGACATTTGTAAGAATGACAGCACATTAAATGTGTAGATTTCAACCTTCAGTTATTGCAATATTCCAGTATCAAGTTGGAGGATGTTATCAGTCTGATATTTTTTCCTCAAATGAGAGAGAGAAAGAAAGACACACAAACAACACAGGGAGAAAAAAAGCACACGTTACAGAGAGACAAAAAGGGAGACAGGGAACTGTGAATTTGGACTCTTGTGTCATAAGACAAATTCTAGATAACACGACCAGACCTTCAATTGACATATTGTGTTTTTGCTAATAAGGTGGAATTCTATGATGCGAAATAACTATATAGTCTTTTCTACTGGGATTTAAATCATTTTATCTGTTTCTGGCTTAACAGGAAAAATACAACCATGGAAAATTATGATGATTTATTTAATACGATTGCTCTATAGTGTTAATAAAACCTATTAGGTATTTTGCATATTACATATCAAGGAGAGTTTGAATCTCAGGTAGAAACAAAAAAAAATACATCAAATTTCCTCATGTGAGTGCAGAATTCAATCGTCCCGTGCAGGGGTAAGTGAGTCTGAGATGTGTTTTGAGCCTGGCCGTTGCGCATGATGTGAAGTGACAAGTCTAGTCTGCAGTTTTCAGAAACCCTCATTCCTCCCTTGACTGATTCACCACTTGAACCTCATATGACGTAGAAGAAGCCTACCTATGTCCCCTTCACATGTTGTGGTCAATGTGTCAACTGCACGATCCGGGCCCCTCACCACATCCTCTGCACCGGTCAGTCGAGCCGAGTCACTGCGTCCTGGCAGCAGAAGCTGCACCATGTCCATGTCACCCACGGTCATCATCCTGGCATGTCTTGGTGAGTCCTGGAAGGGAAGGAGCACCAGGGTTACACTATGGGCCTGCAGATTGGGTGTCTCCCCAGCAGAGAGCCATGTTCTGAAGCAAGTGAGTGGTGAGGATGAGTTAATTTTCAGTCCAGCGTGGCGCCCAGTGGCTCAGGAGGAAAGGGTAGGTTGCTGCCGAGATGAATAGTTCATCATGATCTTTCTTTGCAGGGTTCTTCTTGGACCAGAGTGTGTGGGCACACGTGGGTGAGTCCTTCCCCAAATGATGGGTTGCCATCTTCACCCCAATACAAGTGAATTTTCCAGAAATGGGAGGGAGGCAGCACAGAGGGTGGGCTGATGGGCTGACCATGGGAAGGCCTGGGGGGAGTCTCTCATGAACTAGTAAGAGGAGATCCTGGGAGTCTCTCATGAACTAGTAAGAGGAGATCCTGGGAGTCTCTCATGAACTAGTAAGAGGAGATCCTGGTATGCTCAGCCCTCTGTTTTGTCTTAGCCCTCCCCAGCCTTTCTTCCCCATGGCTGAGTTGAGCTCTGTGTGGCCCAGGCGGGATACTGAGGTGCTCAAAGCTGGGGTGTGTGGGGGGATGTGGTGTCACCGACAGAGGAGGGAAGGGTAGCAGTGTTAGGAACAGCAGGTCCTCTGAGGACAAGAGGGTAACTCACACCCTCCAGCGTTTCCATGACGGTAGGGGCTGCAGTGTGGCTGCTGTCATTCTGCCAGAAGAGGTGGGGGAACCACAGCCACGACCCTGCCATTCCAAATCCTCTGATGGAGCTCAGTTGTTTATTGTGGTTCAGGCATTAGCTAATATTCCATTCACAAAGGTCATACCCTCCACCCCATGTCTACTTTGTGTTCTTTGGTGTAACTAATCTTGCAGTATTAAAATCTAGTAAGAGTCCCTTACTCAGCACCTGCTCAGTTCTCAACTGACACTTTTGTTGTAGGGAGACGCCACGTCTATGCGGGATGGGTCCTTCCTGTAGCCCCAGGCACCCAGGTGTGGTAGGAGCCTTAGAAAGAAGAAATGGGGAGAATCTTCTGAGCACAGGGAGGGAGGGGCAGCTCAACATACTCCTCTCTGAGGCGGCATCTCCTTCTCCCCAAGGTGGTCAGGACAAGCCCTTCTGCTCTGCCTGGCCCAGCGCTGTGGTGCCTCAAGGAGGACACGTGACTCTTCGGTGTCACTATCGTCGTGGGTTTAACATCTTCACGCTGTACAAGAAAGATGGGGTCCCTGTCCCTGAGCTCTACAACAGAATATTCTGGAACAGTTTCCTCATTAGCCCTGTGACCCCAGCACACGCAGGGACCTACAGATGTCGAGGTTTTCACCCGCACTCCCCCACTGAGTGGTCGGCACCCAGCAACCCCCTGGTGATCATGGTCACAGGTCAGAGGGCTCCTGTCTGGGCTTCTCCTTGTCCCACCTCCTGAGTCCCAGAGCTTCTGGTGGGGGTGTCCACCAGAGTCCGATCATCCAGGCCCCAACTATATTTGGGGTAAAGGGGGATTGAATACAGGGGAATGGGTGCTGTGTTGGAAAGAATAACTGTCCCCATCGATGGCCACATTGTAATCCTTGGAGCCTGTGACTATGTTATAGGGCAGGGGACTGAAGGGGAAGATGGAGCTCAGGTTGTTGATGAGTTGACCTTGAGATGGGGAGATGGCCTGGACTCTCCCACTGGGCTCAGTGTAATCACAAGGGTCCATATGAGTGGAGAAGGAAGAGGAGAATGGGGATTAGAGCAGCATCGTGGGATACTCCACCAGCCACTGTGGGCTTTGAAGGTGGAGGAAGACCACGAGCCACGAAGGGGCTGGAGAAATCAATGGAACTGATTCTCCCGAGTCTCCAGAGGGAATGCAGCCCTGCAGATGCCTTGATTGTAGCCCAGGAAGAACAGGGTCTGATTTCTGTCTCCAGAAGTGGAAGGGGTCAGTGTGTTCTCTCCTGCCGCCATGTTTGTGATAATTTTCTCCAGCAACAACAGGAAACCAACACAGGAACCCAGGTGAAGGACAAGTTAAAAAACCAAACAAGAAGGTTGGCTACCCTGAGATCAGCAAGGGTGCACTGCTGATGCCACCACCAGGCTGGAACCACATAGGGAGGGATCGACAGGAAGAGTTGGGGGTGGAGGGTGAGAGAGAGAGAGAGAGCACTAGGCCATAGAGCAGGGCAGTGAGTTCTCAGCTCAGGTGGGAGGGGAGCTGTGACAAGGAAGAACCTCCCTGAGGAAACTGCCTCTTCTCCTTCCAGGTCTATATGAGAAACCTTCGCTTACAGCCCGGCCGGGCCCCACGGTTCGCGCAGGAGAGAACGTGACCTTGTCCTGCAGCTCCCAGAGCTCCTTTGACATCTACCATCTATCCAGGGAGGGGGAAGCCCATGAACTTAGGCTCCCTGCAGTGCCCAGCATCAATGGAACATTCCAGGCCGACTTCCCTCTGGGTCCTGCCACCCACGGAGAGACCTACAGATGCTTCGGCTCTTTCCATGGATCTCCCTACGAGTGGTCAGACCCGAGTGACCCACTGCCTGTTTCTGTCACAGGTGAGGAAAGCCAATGTCTGTCCCATGTCCTATGGTCCTAGAGCCTTAGCTGAGGAGCTTCCTGCTGATGATGGAGAGAAGCATGGACAGATGTGGAGAGAAGATGCAGCATGGTGTGAGGGTGGGATCAGGGCACAGGATGGCAGACAGGGCACCTCCAAACCCTCCTGCATGGCCTGCATGGAAGCTTGCAGTAAGGGCTCCGGGTACCCAGGCAGATGGAGAAAGTGGTCAGGACAGACCCAGAGGAGGGAGACTGGGCTCAGTTTGGGGAGATCAGAGGTTCCCTCAGCCCCTCAACCTTACCCATTTCCCAGAAGCCCACCCTGGCCTCTCACCTACACAGAGATGTCATCACCAGCAACCCCTACACTTTTTCTTTTCCTTTGAAAAAATGCTGATTGAGGTTAAATATACCTATATAATTTATCAACTTTACCATTTTTAAGTGTAAAATCTAGGGATCATAAATACCTTTATATGCTGTGTGCGGTGGCTCATGCCTGTAATCTCAGCATTTTGAGACGCCAAGGCAGGTGGATCATTTAAAATCAGGGGCTGGAGACCAGCCTGGCCAACATGGGGGAACCAATCTTTACTAAAAAGACAAAAAAAATAAAATTAGCCAGGCATGGTGCCAGGCGCCTATAATCCCAGCAACTTGGGAGGCTGAGGCGGGAGAGTGGCTTAAACCCAGGAGGAGGAGGTTGCAGTGAGCTGAGATCATGCCACTGCACTGCAGCCTGGTGACACAGAGAGACTCTGTCTCTAAATAAATAAATAAATACTTTTATATTCTTCTTTTGTTACCCTCCACCCCTTCCTTCCTAACCTCTGGTATCCACCATTCTACTCTCTACCTTCATGAGGTCCACCTTTTACATCCTGCATGTGAGTAAGAAATGGCAATCCTTGTAATGACCTCCAGTCCATCCATGTGGCTGCAAATGACAGGACGTTACTCTTTGTATGGATGAGTTGTCTCCATTGTGTGTATGTACTACTTTCTCTCTATCCATTCATCCACTGATGGGCAGGTAGGTTGACTCCACATCTTGGCTACTGTGAACAGTGCTGGAACAGTCATGGGAGTGCAGATGTCACTTCAATACACTGAAGTCCTTTTCTTTGCATTTACACCCACTAGTGGAATTGCTAGATCCTCTGGATGTTCTCTTTTTAGGTTTTGTTTTATGCTTTTTGTTTTTTTGACATAGCGTTTCACTCTTGTTGCCCAAGCTGGAGTGCAATGGCACCACCTGGGCTCACTGCAACCTCTACCTCCAGGATTCAAGTGATTCTCCAGCCTCAGCCTCCCGAGTAGTTGGGATTACTGGTGCCCGCCACCACGCCTGGCTGATTTTTGTATTTTTAGTAGAGACGGGGTTTCACCATGTTAGCCAGGCTGGTCTCGAACTCTTGACCTCCAGTGATCTGCCCACTTCAGCCTCCCAAGGTGCTGGGATTACAAGCGTGAGACACAGTGCCTAATCTCTTTTTAGTTTTTAAGGAACTTCCATATTCTTCTCCTCTGTAATGGCTGTATTAATTTACATTCCTATCAACAGTGTATTAGGGTTCTCCTTTCTCCACCACCTTGCCAACATTTGTTTTGTCTGTCTCTGAGATAAAACCCATTGTAATGGGGTGAGATGATAGCTCATTGTGACTTCATTTGCATTTCTCTGATGATTAGTGATACTGAGCACTTTTTCATATATGCAATGTATATATGTTCATTTGTATGTTTTGTTCATTGAGAAATGTCTGTTCAGGTCTTTTACTAATTTTATAATTAAATTATTAGTTTTATTGAGGTGTTTGAGCTTCTTTTATATTCTAGTTATTAATCCCATCTCAGATGCATAGTTTGCAAATATTTGCTCCCATTCTGTGGGTTGTCTCTTCTTCACTTCATTGGTTGCTTCCTTTGCGGTGCAGAAGCTGCTTGATTTGATATAATCCCAATGGTCTATTTTTTTGTTGTTGTTGTGATTACTTGTGTTTTTGAGGTTTTAAACAAAATGTCTTCCCTCAGACAAATGTCCTGGAGCATTTCTCCAGTGTTTCCTTTTAGACATTTAATGGATTCAGGTCTTAAGTCATTAATCCATTTTCATCTGATTTTTGTGTATGGTGAGAGGTAGAGGTGCAGTTTCATCCCTCTGCATGTAGATATCCAGTTTTCCCTGCACCATTTATTGAAATGACTGTCCTTTCCAGATTGTAGATTCTTCGAACCTTTGTCAAAGTCCATTGGATGTAAATGGGTGGATTACATCCGTGTTCTTCATTCTGCTCCATTGTTTTATGTGCTTTTCTTTATGCCAATGTCATGTTGTTTTGCTTACTACAGCTCTGTAACATATTTTTAAGTCAGGTAGTGTGATGCTCCTGTTTTCTCCTTATACCTTGAAGTCTCAAGATAGTTGGTGTCACCTACAATGATTATGGAGAATGGGATGCCAGGACTCCCAGGGCCCAACATTAGATAATAGAATGTTGGCCATGAACCAACCTCAAAGATTTCCATTGAGTAGAAGACAGGCATCCTCATTGCCACACCTCTCTCCTGTCCCGTGTTCTAGGAAACCCTTCTAGTAGTTGGCCTTCACCCACTGAACCAAGCTTCAAAACTGGTAAGTGAAGGACCCCTCTTATCTCTGCTTTTGGAAACCTGGGGAGGTAGAAGCCTTGGATTCAAGCGTTGGCTCAGCACCTGCCAGCTCTGTGATTGTGGGCCTGTCTTCCATTGTCTCTGAACCCCAGACACTCCAACAGCGAAAGGGATCTGGGCCCAGCACAGGGCTCAGTGAAATCTCTTAATCTCTAATTTTCTGCTGCTGAGACCTCAGGGTAGAAGGATGAGTGCAAATCAGACATTCTTCTCAGGAAAAATGCTGTGTTTGTTCTGCCTGCATTCCTAACTGGGAGGACAAATGCCTGGGGGCTTGAGAAGGGGAAGGAAGGGGAACATTTTTGAGGGTGGTGTATTTGTAGAGAAGTTCTACTTGCCAAGGAATGAGCTCCTGTCTGTCATGATCCAACCCTGGTTGACTTAGTGGAACAAGAGCTTTGCGGTAAGAGAGAACGTAGTTCATCCGTGCACATGACACTTCCACTTACTCGTTCAGCCACTGCCCCATGCTCAGACTGTGCAGTGTGGAACCTTTTCCTATGTTGCCATAACAAATTTCCACAAGCTTCGTGGATGGAAACCACATTTTTAAAAAATATCTCATGGTGCTGTAGCTCAGAAGTATGAAATGCATCATCTCACTGGGCTAAAATCAAGGTGACAGCAAGGCTGCCTTCCCTCTGAATGTTCCAGGCAAGAATCTGCTTCCTCACTTTTCCCAGCTCCTAGAGGCTCCCACATTCCTTGGCTCCTGGTCCCCGTCTTCCTCCCTCAAAGTCCACAAAGGCTGGTCACGCCTCTCACACGGCATCACTCAGACCCTTCTTCCTTGTCCACACCTCTTTCTCTGAATGCTGCTCTGCCTTCTTCCTCATCTTTTAAGGACTTTGGCATTCTATTGGAAACACCAAGATAATCCATCATAATTTCCCTAAAATCATCTAGGATACCCTCCTTTTAAGGTTAGCTGATTAGCAACCGTAATTCCATCTGCAATCTGCATTCCTTTTTTCCATGTAAAATAACATATTCACAAGATATGGCGACTAGGACAGGAATATTTTGGGGTGGGGCGGCATTCTTATCCTTTCCACAAATGGTAAACAAGGTGCATTTGGCCTCTGCTCTTGGACACTGATATTGCAAAGGATTAAATGGGAGGGCAGAAAATGAATGCACCAGTGGACCAATAAATGAATGATCCATTGGGAAGCATCTGTGCATGAGAATGATTGATTGATTGGTTGTTTTTATGAGACAGTGTCTCCCTCTGTGCCCCAGGCTGGAGTGCAGTGGCGGGATCTCGGCTCACCGCAACCTCCACCTCCCAGGTTAAAGCGATTCTCTACACTCAGCTTCCCGAGAGGCTGGGATTACACCCATGTCCCACCACGCCTGGCTAATTTTTTTTTGGTATTTTTTTTTAGTACAGACAAGGTTTTACCATGTTGCCCAGGCTATCTCAAACTCCCAACCTTAAGGGATCCGCCCGTCTCAGCCTCCCAAAGTGCTGAGATTAGAGGCGTGAGCCAAGGCGCCGAGCCGTATTTTAAAAGAAATAATAGATAATGCTGAGTGTATAATTTCGGGTGACAGAGAAGTTCTCACTGATCAAATAATACTTGTGACCTTAATGAAAAAAATAGATCAACCCCTGGAAGATTGGCGGAAGGATTTTCCACACAGCTGTCAGCCGTGAAGGCACAAAGGTGAAAACAATGTTATGTGGAAGGAAGAGGCTCTGCCTGAAATGCTGGGAATGACATGGGGAGAATGACAAGACGACTGTGGAGAGACAGAGAGCACACTGGGTACACAGGAAACTAAGGAGCAACAAGGAGCGTGTGTTTGATACTCACAGCCATTGGACTTACCTCGGGGCTAACTGGGAATCCCTACATGATGAATAGTGACTGACATGAAAATAAGGGAGGCCCAGGTGCATAACTGGAATCTAGGAGACTGTGGAAAAGGCAATTCCCGCCCCCCTGGTGAAATGTGGTGCTGATTTAGACACTAAATGAATGAAAGATGGACACAAGATGTGTTTGTGAGGTAGAGTAATTTGCAGGGAGGGCTTGCCTGGTTTGATTTTTCCTAATTGTTTAATCTTCACTTCATTGATTTCTTTCTGAGATTTATTTTTCCTACATGTAAATCAATACTTGGCAGAGGAGTGAGAGATACATGAGGGGTGGTGCAAAGGAAGAGACCTATTATAATATAACACACAAGGTTCTGAACGGTGGCTCACACCTGTAACCCAACATTTTGGGAGGCTGAGGAGGCTGGATCAAGTGAGATCAGGAGTTCGAGATCAGCCTGGACAACATGGTGAAACCCCATCTCTACTAAATATACAAAAACTAGCTGGGGGTGGTGGCGCGTGCCTGTAATACCAGCTATTCGGGAAGTTGAAGAAGGAGAATGGCTTCAACCAGGGAGGGAGAGGTTACAGTGAGCCAAGATCGCGTCATTGCACTGCACCCTAGGTGACAGAGTGAGACTCCATGGCAAAAAATAAAAATAAAGAATACATAAATATAATATAACATACACGAATGACAAAGGCACACCAATTCCAATCATCATTTTTCTATTTCTCTATAATGACTTCTTTGATCCTTTATCCTATCCGTAAGAAAATCAGGCGAAAACATCTTCCTTATTTGGCTTTCTGTGAGCATGAGATCATATGGAAAATGTGAAACCCACCAGCACAGGTCCTGGAATAGAGAACGTGATCTGTTCATGGCACAAAACTTGCCCCTTCACCCAAATCCCCCACCTCACCCCTACTTCCAATCACATTAATGATACAGATAGATCATGGGGAGGTAAAAACTAATATTCTTTGGAGTTCAGATCGTAGACTCAGAGACCAGTGCCAGCACTATCTCCTGGTCACCTTTTGGAGTAATTCACAGAAAGACAGGCTGTATTGAAGCAACAGATGATGGAGGGGGTGGTCTTTCCCCCAGACTCTCGGGTGGAACAGCAGCCTAATATCTGACTCCCAAGATGACAAAAGTAGCATGTTGCCCACGAGCTTCATCATTATTTCCTGGCTGTTTGATATAAGACAGCTCAACCTCACTTATGTTGATTTCAATGTCACTGTTTTTTCCTTTTCTTGGAGAATGTAATTTGTTTGAGTCAAGAGGGTTGTGGATGTAGAAACTGTAAAGCACATTCACTGTGTATCAATCCCAGTCCAGTCTTCCCAGAGAAGACTCTAAACACCTCCCATACTGCACCTGGGGCTGTGCCAATTTCTATCACTCACCATCACTCCAGGGAGACAGAACACACAGGGAATACATTACATAGGCAGGTTCATTACTTATAGATAAGCAGCGAGTGACAACAGAAACCTTCCTTTCAGGGTGAGCCAGTCCCTCAAGGCTCAGAAAAACTGCTCAGGACACATGGAGTCACTTCATGTGCACTGTAGCTGGGGGAAGCCAGAAAGCAGCCCAGCCTGGGTTTTGTACCCTGGAGCCACAGGGAACACTCAGCTAAAGCACTGCATGATGTTCTCCTCCAGGAAGAACAGGAAGACAGCCCAGGCTGTTCTGAGACGTTCCTCCTGATCTCAGGATGTTGCTGTCTTAGCCTATTTTTGTTGCTATAAAAGAACACTTGAGCCTGGGTATCTTCTAAAGAAAAGAGATGTGTTTGGCTCACTGATCTGCACGCTGTACTAGAAGCAGGACACTACCATCTATTTCTGGCTGCGGCCTCAGGCTGCTCCCACACTGACAGAAGAGAAGGGGGTCCTGCGTGTGCAGAGACCACAGAGATCACATGGCAAGAGAGGGAGAAAGGGGGTGTGATGGAGCTTCCAAGCTCTTTTTAAGAATCAACTCTCCAGGGTACTAATAGAGGGAGAACTTGCTAACCCCGTCCTCTGGGGACAGCATTAATCTATTCATGATGGATCCACCCCCATGACCAAAACACCCCTCCCAATAGGCACAACTCCCACACTGGGGATTAAATTTCAAAGTGGGGTTTGGAGGGGTCAAACATTGAAACAATAGCAGTTGTATCATCAGCACATTCTATTGTTATTATGAAAACTATAACGGAGAAAGCAGGAGAAAGCTGGGTCTCCCGCCTCGTGGGTGCTTGTCTTAAAGAGGTGTTTTATGTGGTTGCCTGGCAACCAAGAAATGAGAGACAATCCACAAAGAGGAACTGCTATGGTTAGCTTCTTATTGGATTCCCATCTTCCTCCAGGTATCGCCAGACACCTGCATGCTGTGATTAGGTACTCAGTGGCCATCATCCTCTTTACCATCCTTCCCTTCTTTCTCCTTCATCGCTGGTGCTCCAAAAAAAAAGTAAGCCTCACGAAGCAGAGGCCAGAGAACTCAGGGCCCTGTGCGGAAGCAGGATGGGAGCACGCAGGTGTGTGTTCCTCACTGGCAGGAAAGTCTCTGGCCCAAGGCAGGAGCCAGAGGCAGAGCTTTCTAGAGAGAGCACCAGACACCCTGCCCCTGCCTTCAGCTCACAGACCGTTGCCTGATTGTGAACTGTATCCTCACGTCCCCTGCAGCCACTCACATCCAGGAGAAGATTCCATGACAGGCAGAAAGTGGGAGATAGAATCAATGGGATGGGAACTGACAGCTATTCATGGAATGGGGTCTTGCACTCAGAGAGATGGAATGTCTGAGTCTGGCTGTTGGCAGCTGAGGGACCTCAGGCACCTATGGCCTCCCCCTGTGTGTTGGTATCTGTTCATGAAATGAGGACCCAGAAGTGCCCTCCCAGCTGTTTTGATTGCTTCCGTCTCCTACAGATGCTGCTGTAATGAACCAAGAGCCTGCGGGACACAGAACAGTGAACAGGGAGGTAGGTCCTCCTAGCCCAGCCTCATGGATACAGTCTTATTCCGAAATAGTCCTGAAAAATGTGAACACCCTCCCTCACTCAGGATTTCCCTCTCTCCAGGACTCTGATGAACAAGACCCTCAGGAGGTGACATACGCACAGTTGGATCACTGCATTTTCACACAGAGAAAAATCACTGGCCCTTCTCAGAGGAGCAAGAGACCCTCAACAGATACCAGCGTGTGTATAGAACTTCCAAATGCTGAGCCCAGAGCGTTGTCTCCTGCCCATGAGCACCACAGTCAGGCCTTGATGGGATCTTCTAGGGAGACAACAGCCCTGTCTCAAACCCAGCTTGCCAGCTCTAATGTACCAGCAGCTGGAATCTGAAGGCGTGAGTCTCCATCTTAGAGCATCACTCTTCCTCACACCACAAATCTGGTGCCTGTCTCTTGCTTACCAATGTCTAAGGTCCCCACTGCCTGCTGCAGAGAAAACACACTCCTTTGCTTAGCCCACAATTCTCTATTTCACTTGACCCCTGCCCACCTCTCCAACCTAACTGGCTTACTTCCTAGTCTACTTGAGGCTGCAATCACACTGAGGAACTCACAATTCCAAACATACAAGAGGCTCTCTCTTAACACGGCACTTAGACACGTGCTGTTCCACCTTCCCTCGTGCTGTTCCACCTTTCCTCAGACTATTTTTCAGCCTTCTGGCATCAGCAAACCTTATAAAATTTTTTTGATTTCAGTGTAGTTCTCTCCTCTTCAAATAAACATGTCTGCCTTCATTCTTTAGGTGACTCTTTTTTTGGCTGAAAGTTTCCAGTGTTATCATTACCATGTCCAAATAACTCCAACTGTTCTCCACTGGGTTCTCACCCCTGGACTTGGAGCTTCTGGAAGCAGGGTGGAGCCTGATTTGTCTCTGAGACTCCAATTTCCATCCAAAGATGCAGCACATAAGAGGTTCCAAGGATCGTGAATCACATGAACAAGTGATATTCTTACTCTCTGCAGACCTGGAAAGCTGGCAGAGTCATTCCATGATGAAACATTTGTAGAGTCATAGGCCTTGTTAGTCTCATCTCCACGGGGACACATATCAACACATCATCTTTCATACTATAAATATACAGTCGGTCCTCTGTATCTGTGGGATTTACAGGTGTTTATTGAACCAAATATAAATCAAAAATATTCAGAGAAAAAATCCACAAAGTTTCAAAAAGCAAAACTATGTTGAATGGACACAAATGAAGCTGTGTGTAGGCTGTATCAGGAATTATAAATAATCAAGGGATGATTTCATGTACACAGGAGGATGTGCATGGGTTATTTGCAAATGCTGTGCCATTTCATGTAAGAGGCTTGAGCGTCTGCAGATTGTGCTATCTGAGTGGAGATCCTGAAACCAATCACCCACGAATAGTGAGGGATGACTGTATATAATTTTTATTTCTCAATTTTAAATATAAAACATAAAAAAATTACAATAACAAGATAAAATAAACAAGTGTTTTATAGTGTGAGAATACGTTTAGATATATTTTTCTCTATGTGTAACCCTTGGGCCCATGTTATTTATTGAGAAGACATTCTATTCCACCTTAAACCACATGGCAGCCTTTGTCAACTATAAAGGGACTGTGTGTACACGGATGTATTTTAGACACTGTTTTCTGCTCAGTGGCTCTCTCTCTGTCCACTCTCTTGAGAATGCTGCATTTTATGCAGCCTTATACAACCCCTAAAATTTGGTAGCTGGAGTCCTCTAGTTATTTATTATAGGCTATTTGCTATGCTTTTTTTATTTTTCTTGAGGCAGAGTCTCGCTCTGTTGCCCAGGCTGGAGTGCAGTGGCACGATCTCGGCTCACTGCAACTTCCGCCTCCCAGGTTCAAGGGATTCCGTGCCTCAGCCTCTTGAATAGCTGGCATTACAAGTGCCTGCTACCAGGCATGGCTAATTTTTGTATTTTTAGCAGAGACATGGTTTCACTATATTGGCCAGGCTGGTCTCAAACTCCTGACCTCGGTTGATCACTCACCTCGGCTTCCAAAGTGCTGGGGAAATTGATTTTCTATAGCATTATGTTACTGGATATTTCTGTAAAATTTAAAATGAGGGAGGCAGAGAGACAGAGAGAGAGCAAACCATGAGTTGGAACTCTGGAATCTTGGGACATGAGACAAATTCTAGATAAATCTACAAAAATCCAGAATTTACATGTTGTGATTTTTGCTGATAAAGTACAATTCTAAGATTGTAAATAATTGCATAATCCTTCCCTGGGAGTTTAAATCATTTGAACTGGTTCTGCTGTAATACTAGAAATACAATCATGAAAAATTCTAATGGTTTATTGTCACAATTGCTCTGAAAACCTTAATAATACCTATTAGATATTTTGCATATTACACAGGAAGAAGAGTTTGAATCTCAGATAAAAACAATAAAAATACATGAAAAGTCTTTCATGTTAGCACAGATTTTAGGCATCTCGTGTTCGGGAGGTTGGATCTGAGACGTGTTTTGAGTTGGTCATAGTGAAGGACGCGAGGTGTCAATTCTAGTGAGAGCAATTTCCAGGAAGCCATGTTCCGCTCTTGAGCGAGCACCCACTGGGCCTCATGCAAGGTAGAAAGAGCCTGCGTACGTCACCCTCCCATGATGTGGTCAACATGTAAACTGCATGGGCAGGGCGCCAAATAACATCCTGTGCGCTGCTGAGCTGAGCTGGGGCGCAGCCGCCTGTCTGCACCGGCAGCACCATGTCGCTCATGGTCGTCAGCATGGCGTGTGTTGGTGAGTCCTGGAAGGGAATCGAGGGAGGGAGTGCGGGGATGGAGATCTGGACCTGGAGGTAAAGATATGGGCCTAGAGGTGGAGTTATGGGCCTAGAGGTGGAGTTATGGGCCTGAAGTGGAGATCTGGGCCTGGAGTGGAGATCTGGGCCTGGAGTGGAGATAGGGGCCTGGGGTGGAGATATGTGCCTGGAGTGGAGATCTGGGCCTGGAGTGGAGATATGGGCCTGGGGTGGAGATATGTGCCTGGGGTGGAGAGATGGGCCTGGAGGGGAGATATGGGCCTGGAGGGGAGATGTGGGCCTAGAGGTGGAGTGATGGGCCTAGAAGTGGAGCGATGGGCCTGGAGTGGAGATATGGGCCTGGAGGTGGAGTTATGGGCCTGCAGTAGAGATATGGGCCTGAAGTGGAGATATGGGCCTGGAGTGGAGATATGGGCCTAGAGGTGGAGTTATGGGCCCGGAGGTGGAGTTAAGGGCATGAAGTGGAGATCTGGGCCTGGAGTGGAGATATGATCCTGGAGTGGAGATATGGGCCTGGGGTGGAGATACGGGCCTGGAGCAGACATACAAGCCTGGAAAGGAGATATGGGCCTGGAGAGGAGATAGAAGCCTGGAGTGGAAATATGGGCCTGGAGTGGAGATATGAGCCTGGAGTGGATATATGAGCCTGGAGTTGAGATAGGAGCCTGGAGTGGAGATATGGGCCTGGAGTGGACTTACCAGCCTGGAGAGGAGATATGGGCCTGGAGTGGAGATACGGACCTGGAGTGGAGATCTGGGCCTGTTGTGTAGATCTAGGCCTGGAGGTAGAGATCTGGGCCTGGAGGCTCAGTCTCTGCACAGCCGAGATCCTTGTTCCTGGGGGCAGGTAGGCAGCGAGGGTGAGTTTACCTTCAGCCCAGCAAGGGCCTGGCTGCCAAGACGCACAGCCCAGTGGGGGCAGCAGGGTGCCCTGGTTTGCCTGCAGAGGGATGGTCCATCATGATCTTTCTTTCTAGGGTTGTTCTTGGTCCAGAGGGCCGGTCCACACATGGGTGAGTCCTTCCCCAAACCTTAGGGTGTCATCTCCCCACATAAGAGGATTTTCCTGAAATGGGAGGGAAGTCCTGTCGGGGAGTCTCTCATACACTAGGAAGAGGGGACCCTCGGATGCTCGGCCCACATTTCTGACCTTGCCTTCCCCGGCCTTTCATTCCCTTTCCTGAGTCAAGCTCTGTGAAGACTGGGGTGAGACTAGGGTGCTCCAAGATGGGTGTGCAGGGAGGAAGTGGTGTCAGCAGCAGAGAAAGAGAGGGAAGCAGTGCTAGGAACAGCAGGTCCTCTGAGGACAAAGGTGTAACTCACACCCTCCAGCGTTTCCGTGATGGTAGGGGCTGCAGTGTGGCTGCGGTCTTTCTACCAGAAAAGGTGAGGAAACCACAGCCATGGCCCTGACATTCCAAATCCTCTGATGGGGGCTCAGTTCATCAATTGGCTGATATTCCATTCACATAGGACTTGCCCTCCATGCCGTGTCTACTTTGTGTTGTTTTATATGAGTAATTTTGCAGTATTAAAATCTAGTAAGAGTTGCTTCTCCAGCAACTTGCTCAAAGTTCTCAGCTGACACTTGTTGTAGGGAGACGCCAAGTCTATGCAGGATGGGTCCTTCCTGTAGCCCTGGGCACCCAGGTGTGGTAGGAGCCTTAGAAAGTGGAAATGGGGAGAATCTTCTGGGCACTGGGAGTGAGGGGCGGCTCCACATCCTCCTCTCTAAGGCAGTGCCTCCTTCTCCCCCAGGTGGTCAGGACAAACCCTTCCTGTCTGCCTGGCCCAGCGCTGTGGTGCCTCGAGGAGGACACGTGACTCTTCGGTGTCACTATCGTCATAGGTTTAACAATTTCATGCTATACAAAGAAGACAGAATCCACATTCCCATCTTCCATGGCAGAATATTCCAGGAGAGCTTCAACATGAGCCCTGTGACCACAGCACATGCAGGGAACTACACATGTCGGGGTTCACACCCACACTCCCCCACTGGGTGGTCGGCACCCAGCAACCCCGTGGTGATCATGGTCACAGGTCAGAGGCTTTCCGTCTGGGCTTCTCACTGTCCCACCTCCTGAATCCCAGAGCTTCTGGTGGGGGTGTCCGTCAGGGTCCCATCACCCAGGCCCTGACTGTATTTGGGGTCAAGGGAGATTGAATACAGGGGAAATGGGTGCTGTGGTGGGAAGAATCACTGTCCCCAATGATGGCTACATTGTAATCCCTGGAGCCTGTGACTATTTATGTTACAGGGCAGGGGACTGAAGGGGAAGGTGGAGCTCAGGTTGTTGATGAGTTGACCTTGAGATGGGGAGACAGCCTGGACTGTCCCACTGGGCTCAGTGTAATCACAAGGGTCCACATGAGAGGTGGAGGAAGAGGGGAGTGGGGATTAGAGCAGTGTAGTGGGAGGGAGACGCTATCAGCCACTGCGGGCTTTGAAGGTGGAGGAAGACCACTAGTCACAGAATGCAGGTGGCCTCTAAGGGCTGGAGAAGTCAAGAGAACTGATTCGCTGATTCTCCAGAGGGAACGCAGCCCTGTAGACACCTTGATTTCAGCACAGGGAGAACTGGATCCAATTTCTGTCTCCAGAAGTGGAAGGGGTCAGTGTGTTCTCTCCCGCTGCCATGTTTGTGGTAATTTTCTGCAGCAGCAACAGGAAACCAACACAGGAACCCAGGTCAAGGACAAGTTAGGAAACCAAACAAGGATAGCCAGATGTGGTGGTGGGCACGAGTAATCCAACGACTGGGGAGGCTGAGGCAAGAGAATCACTTGAACTGGGGATTTGTTCAAAAGAGATTGATTCAGGCTGCTAAGAGCCTGGACATGCAGCCTGTCCTCTTCCACCCCCACATAGACAGCAGGAAAGAGATTAGTGGGAAACAGATACAACAGCCCAAGAGATGAGGCTGTCTTCACAGTGGCAAGGGAGTCAGGGGCTACTGGAGACAGAGGGACAGAGAAGAGGGAGGAAGACAGATGGAGGCACCTGCACCAGGGGATATGGGCACAGAAAAGACACGGAGATGCAGAGAGGGAGGAGAGAGACAGACACGGGGAGGGGAACCCTCACTCATTCCAGGTGCCATGGATGGGATGATAAAGAGAGATGCCTTCTAAACTCACAACTTCTCTTTCTAGGAAACCACAGAAAACCTTCCCTCCTGGCCCACCCAGGTCCCCTGGTGAAATCAGGAGAGAGAGTCATCCTGCAATGTTGGTCAGATATCATGTTTGAGCACTTCTTTCTGCACAAAGAGGGGATCTCTAAGGACCCCTCACGCCTCGTTGGACAGATCCATGATGGGGTCTCCAAGGCCAATTTCTCCATCGGTCCCATGATGCTTGCCCTTGCAGGGACCTACAGATGCTACGGTTCTGTTACTCACACCCCCTATCAGTTGTCAGCTCCCAGTGATCCCCTGGACATCGTGGTCACAGGTGAGAGTGTCTAGACATTGTTCTCATTGTCACTGGGACACAGAGTGAATGATCCAGGACTTGGAACCCCCAGGTGGTCATGAGGAAGATAAGTGTGGGATTCTTATGGAAAGAGAGTGACTTGGTGAGGTCTGTACCAACAGAGACAGAGAAACAGGAGACATAAGTACAGAACAGGTGTCATAACAGAGGACAGACACAGGGGCCATACAGGGAGGTAGAAAAGAGAGAAAGAGGTAAAGGAGACACTCAGACAGACAGACATGTCCCAGAGAGAGGTGTCCTTCCATGCTGACTTTGCTCAGAGACCTGGCACAGGTTAGAAGTTTCATTTCTGTTTTACCTCCACAAAGTGTTCCTACCAGAAGAACCCAAGGACACCCATATTTCTGACCTGAGTTGGGCCCTGTGGCCTCAGGCCTTGTGCCACCTACAGATGCCGTGTTTATTCTGACACCTCTGCCTTCCATGCAATGGAGAGTAATCATCCCAGGATATCATGGCCCCTGAACACCAACCCCTGTATGCTGTGTGAACTTGGGGTCCCCAGACTGGATTCTGAGGCTCATATTCCAAATAATCCCACATATGATAGGATCGCTGAGAGACACAGAGAAAAATCAGGGACACCAAAAAGCAAAGACATAAACACACACAAAATGAGCCAGAAGAAGGAGATTAAGAGATTCACAGACACATAAAAAGAAAGAAAAGAGGGCAGAATGGAGAGAATGATGGAAAGGAGGAGAGAAAAGCCCCAAAATCAGAACCCTGAGGGAGGGACACAAAGACAGAGAAAGATAAATATGTGGGGATGGATTGCAGAGATTCCAAATAGAACTAGAGAGACTGAGAGGCAGAGAAAGACAAGGAGACGGAGAGAGAGAGATGATAGATGGATAGATAGACGTAGATAGATGATAAATAGGTAGATGATAGATAATGGATTGGTTATAGATACATAGATGATGACTGATAGATGATACATAGAGATGACGATGATGATGATAGACACATAGATATATACATAGATGATACATAAATAGAGACAGAGAGGCAGACAGAGAGGTAATAGAGAGAGAGATAGATGATACATATATAGATAATAGATGATTGATGGATAGATAGACAGACAGACAATTGATAGAGAGATAGATAAGTGATACATAAATATAGATGATAGATAATTTGTAGATAGACACAAAATAGATAAATAGATAGAAATGTGCAGAAAGTTATGAACAAGACAGAAAGTGAGAGACTCAAAATTAAAGAAAAAGGAAGATCAAGTCAACCAATCCAAGGAGGGTCAGAGAGAATAAAACAATCCAAAAAGGGAAAACATACCTCAGGGTGGGGAAGTGAGGTCATAGACCTAGAGAGACAGAAAAGGTAGAAGGAGGAAACAGATATGAAGAGAGATGGGGTGGAGGGTGAGAGAGAGAGAGAGAGCATTAGGTCATAGAGCAGGGGAGTGAGTTCTCAGCTCAGGTATGAGGGGAGCTATGACAAGGAAGAACCTCCCTGAGGAAACTGCCTCTTCTCCTTCCAGGTCCATATGAGAAACCTTCTCTCTCAGCCCAGCCGGGCCCCAAGGTTCAGGCAGGAGAGAGCGTGACCTTGTCCTGTAGCTCCCGGAGCTCCTATGACATGTACCATCTATCCAGGGAGGGGGGAGCCCATGAACGTAGGCTCCCTGCAGTGCGCAAGGTCAACAGAACATTCCAGGCAGATTTCCCTCTGGGCCCTGCCACCCACGGAGGGACCTACAGATGCTTCGGCTCTTTCCGTCACTCTCCCTACGAGTGGTCAGACCCGAGTGACCCACTGCTTGTTTCTGTCACAGGTGAGAAAAGCCCATATCTCTCTCATGTCCTATGATCCTAAATCCTTAGCTAAGGAGCTTCCTGCTGATGATGGAGAAAAGCATGGACAGATGCAGAGAGAAGACACAGCAGGTGTGAGGGCGGAGTCAGGGCGCAGGATGGCAGACAGGGCACCTCCAAACCCTCCTTCATGGCCTGCATGGAGGCCTCCGATCAGGGCTCCAGGCACCCAGGCAGATGGAGAAAGCGGTCAGGACAGACCCAGAGAAGGGGAGACTGGGCTTAGTTTGGGGAGATCAGAGGTTCCCTCAGCCCCTCAATCTTATCCATTTCCCAGAAGCCCATCATGGCCTCTCACCCACACAGAGAGATATCATCACCAGCAACCCCTACACCCTTTTCTTTTCATTTTCAAAAATATTTATTGAGGTTAAATGTAACTATATAATTTACCACCTTTACCATTTTTAAAAGTAAAATCTAGTGGTCATAAATACCTTTATATGCTGGGTGTGGTGGTTCACGGTTGTAATCTCGGCGCTTTGAGAGGCCAAGGAAGGTGGATCATTTAAGATCAGGAACTCGAGATCACCCTGGCCAACATGTGGGAAATTCATCTTTACTAAACAGACAAGAAAAATTAGCCGAGCATGCTGGCATGCACCTGTAGTCCTAGCTACTTGGGAGGCTGAGGCAGGAGAAGCACTTAAACCCAGGAGGCAGAGGTTGCACTGAGCCGAGATCATGCCACTGCACTGCAGCCTGGGAGACAGAGAGAGACTCTGTTTCTAAATAAATAAATACATCTATATTCTTTTTTTTGTTACCCTCCACCCTTCCCTTCCTGGCCTCTGGTGTCCACCATTGTATTCTCCACCTTCATGAGATCCACCTTTTATCTCCTGCATGTGGGTGAGAAATGGGAATCTTTGTAATGACCTCCAGTTCCATCCATGTGGCTGCAAATGACAGGATGTTATTGTTTCTATGGATGAGTAGTCTCCACTGTGTGTGTGTACCACAGTTCTCTATCCATTCACCCACTGATGGGCAGGTAGGTTGACTCCACATCTTGGCTACTGTGAACAGTGCTGGAACAGTCATATGAGTGCAGATATCACTTCGATACACTGATGTCCTTTCCTTTGGATATAAACCCAGTAGTGAAATTGCTGGACACTATGAAAGTTCTCTTTTTTTTTTTTTCTTTTTTGAGAAAGAGTTTCCCTCCTTAGTCCAAGCTGGAGTCTAAGTGGTGAAATCTTGGCTCATTGCAACCTGTGCCTCCTAGGTTCAAATGATTGTCCTGACTCAGCCTCCCTAGTAGCTGTGATTACAGGTGCACGCCACCATGCCTGGCTAATTTTTGTATTTTTTTAGCACAGACGGGATATCCCAATTTTGGGCAGGCTGCTCTCAAACTCCTGACCTCAAGTGAGGTGCCTGCCTCGGTTTCCCAAAGTGCTGAAGTTACAGGCATAAGCCACTATGCCCAGCCTCCTTTTAGTTTTTTAAAGAATTTCCATACTTTTCTCCATAATAGTTGTACTAATTTACATTCCTACCAACAGGGTACCAGGGTTCTCCTTTCTCTACCATCTTGCCAGCATTTGTTTTGCCTGTCTTGCAGTAAAAGCCATTTTACTTTACTTTATTTTATTTATTTATTTATGTTGAGATGGAGTTTCACTCATAGTCTCCCAGGCTGGAGTGCAAGGGTGTGATCTCAGCTCACTGCAACCTCCGCCTCCCGCGTTCAACTGATTCTCCTGCCTCAGCCTCCAAAGTAGCTGGGATTACAGGCATGTGCCACCACGCCTAGCTAATTTTTGTATGTTTAGTAGAGAGGGAGTTTCTCCATGATGGTCAGGCTGGTCTCCCGACCTCAGGTGATCCGCCCACCTCCGCCTCCTGAAGTGCCGGAATTACAGGCGTGAGCCACCGGCCTAAAAGGCATTTTAATGGGATGAGATGAAAACTCATCGCGATTGTAATTTACATTTCTCTGATGATGAGTGATGCCGAGTACTTTTTCATATACGTGATCGCCATTTCTATGTTTTGTTTGTGGAGAAATGTCTCCTCATGTCTTTTGCTCGTTTTTTAATTAAATTGTTTTATTGAGTTGTTTGAGCTTCTTATATTTCCAGTTATTAATCCCGTCTCAGATGAATAGTTTGCAAATATTTGCTCCTATTTTGTCGGTTGTCTCTTCACTTTCTTGGTTTATCTTTTGTGGTGCAGAAGTTGCTTGGTTTGATGTAATCCTAATGGTCTATTTTTTGCTTTGATTACTTGTGTTTTGAAGGTTTTAAACAAAATGTCTTTCGTCAGACAAATGTCTTCCCCATTATTTTCTTCTACATGTTTCATAGGTTCAGGCCTTAGACTCATGTTTTTAATCCATTTTCATTTGATTTTTGTGTATGGTGACAGGTATAGATGCAGTTTTATTCCTCTGCATGTAGATATCCAGTTTTCCCCACACCATTTATTGAAAAGACTGTCCTTTCCTGATTGTAAGTTCTCGGCACCTTTGTCAAAGTCCATTAAATGGGCTGGGTATGGTGGCTCACACCTGCAATTCCAGCACTTTGGGAGGCCGAGGCGGGTGGATCACCTGAAGCCAGGAGTTCAAGACCAGGCTGGCCAACAGAGTGAAACCTCGTCTCTACTAAAAATACAAAAATTAGCTGAGCATGGTGACCAGTGCCTGTAATACCACTACTCGGGTGTTTGAGGCAAGAGAATTGCTTGAATCCAGGAAGTGGAGGTTGCATTGAGCTGAGATTGCACCTCTGCACTCCAGCCTGCATGACAGAGCAAGATTCTATCACACACACACACAAAAAAAGCCATTGGATGTAAATGCATGGATTATATCTGTGTTCTCCATTCTGTTTCATTTTTTATGTGCCTTTCTTTATGCCAATGTCATGCTGTTTTGCTTACTACAGCTCTGTAACATATTTCTAAGTCAGGTAGTGTGATGCTCCTGTTTTCTCTTTATACCTTCAAGTCTCAAGACAGTGGGCATCGCACACAAAAATTATGGAGAAGAGGATCCCAAGACTCCCAGGGTCCAACATTAGATAACAGAGTGTTGGCCATGAACCAACCTCAAAGATTTCCATTGAGTAGAGGACAAGCACCCTCATTTCCTCACATCTCTCCTGTCCCATGTTCTAGGAAACCCTTCAAGTAGTTGGCCTTCACCCACAGAACCAAGCTCCAAATCTGGTGAGTAAAGGACCCCTCTTATCTCTGCTTTTGGAAACCTGGGGAGGTGGAAGCCTTGGATGCAAGTGTTGGCTCAAACCTCCCAGCTCTGTGAATGAGGGCCTGTCTTCCACCATCTCTGAACTCCAGACACTCCAACAGTGAAAGGGATCTAGGGCCACCAAAGGGCTCAGCGAAGTCTCTTAACCTTTAATGTCCTGCAGGTGAGACCTCCTACAAGCTAGAAGAATGATTGCCAATCTGACATCCTTCTCAGGAAACATGCAGTGTTTTTTCTTCCTGCATTCCTAACTGGAGGATAAATTCCTGGGGACTTGAGAGAGGGAAGGGAAGGGAACATCTGATGAGGGCGAGGTGTTTTAGAGAAGTTCCACTTGCCAAGGAATGAATTACTGTTGGTCATGAAGCAACCCTGGCTGACTCAGCAGAGCAAGAGCCTTGCCGTAACAGAGAACAGAGCTCATGCACGCACACTTCGACTCACTGACTCATTCAGCCACGGCCCCATGCTCAGGCTGTGCAGTTGGAATCCTTTCCTATTGTTGCCATAACAAATTTCCACAAGATTCGTGGGTGAAAACAAAACGGTTTTTTAATTATCTTACAGTGCTGTAGCTCAAAGTAGGAAGTGCATCTTACTGGGCTAAAATCAAGGTGACAGCAAGGCTGCCTTCCCTCTGAGGATTCCAGGCAAGAATCTGCTTCTCACTTGTCCCAGCTTCTAAAGGCTCCCAGTTCCTTGGCTCCTGGTCCCCTTCCTCCTTCCTCAAAGCCCACAAAGACTGGTCACATCTCACATGGCATCACTCAGACCCTTCTTCCTTACCACACCTCTTTCTCTGAATGCTGCTCTCCCTTCTTCCTTATCTTTTGAAAACTTGGGGATTCTATTGGGTTCACCAAGATGAAAATCCATCATAATCTCCCGGAAATCATTCAGGATACCCTTGTTTTAAGTTCAGCTGACTAGCAACCGTAATTCCATCTGCAATCTTCATTCCTTCTTTCCATGTAAAATAAGATATTCACAAGCTATGGAGGCCAGGACAGGGACATTTTGGGGTGGGACAGCATTCTCCTGCCTTCCACGAACGGTGAACAAGATGCATTTGGCCTCTGCTCTTGGGACACTGATATTGCAGATGGTTAAATGGGAGGACAGAAAATGAATGCACAAGTGGACCAATAAATGAATGATCCATTGGGAAGCATCTGTGCATGAAATCTATTTGTTTGTTCGTTCATTTATTTATTGAGACAGAGTCTCCCTCTGTCTTCCAGGCTACAGTGCAGTGTCACGATCTTGGCTCACTGCAACCTGCGTCTCCTGGATCCAAGTGATTCTCCTGCCTCACCCTCTCGAGTAGCTGGGATTACAGGCAACTGCCACCATGCCCGGCTAATTCTTTTTGTATATTTTTTGTAGAGAGGATGTTTCACCATGTTGGCCAAGCTTGTCTGAAACTCCCAACCTCAAGTGATCCGACCATCTCAGCAACCCAAAGTACTGGGATTACAGGCGTGAGCCACTTTGCCCAGCCAGAATTCAAAATAAATAATAGATAATGCTGAGTGTATAATTTTGGGTGACAGAGAAGGTCTCACTAATCAGATATTTGTGACATTAATGAAAAACACGGATTGAACCCCTGAAAGATTGGCGGAAGGATTTTCCACACACAGCTGTCAGCCGTGAAGGCAGAAAGCTGAAAACAATCTGATGTGGAAGGAAGAGGCTCTGCCTGAAATGCTGGGAATGAGGTGGGGAGAATGACAAGACGACTGTGGAGAGACGGAGAGCACACTGGGTACACAGGAAACTAAGGAGCAACAAGGAGTGTGTGTTTGACACTCACAGCCATTGGATTCACCTCGGGGTAGCCAGGAATCCCTACATGATTAATAGTGACTGACATGAAAATAAGGGAGGCCCAGGTGCGTAACTGGAATCTAGGAGACAGTGGAAAAGGCAATTGCCGCCCCACTGGTGAAATGTGGTGCTGATTTAGACCCTAAGTGGATGAAGCAGATGGATATAAGCTATGTTTGGGAGGTAGAATCATTTGCAGGGAGGGCTTGCTGGGTTTGAGTTTCCTAGTTGTTTAATCCTTGCTAAATTAATTTCTTTCTGAGATTTATTCCTCCTACACATAAATCAATACCTGGCAAAGGAGTGACAGATATATGAGGGGTGGTGGAAATGAAGGGACCTATTATAGCATAGTATACAAGTCTGTGAACGGTGGCTCACTCCTGTAACCCAGCACTGCAGGAGGCTAAGGCCAGTGGATTCCAAGAAGTCAGGAGTTCGAGACCAGCCTGGCCAACATGGAGAAACCCTATCTCTACATGGTGAAACCCTATCTCTCCTAAAAATACAAAAATTAGCCGAGCATGGTGGTGCATCCCTGTAATCCCAGCTCCTGCTCTGGAGGATGAAGCAGGAGAATGACTTCAACCCAGGAGGTGGAGGTTGCAGTGAGTGGAGATCGCATCACTGCACTCCAGCCTGGGTGACACAAGGAGACTCCATCTCAAAAAATAAAAATAAGAAATGCATAAATATAATAAAACACACACGAATGACAAAGGCACCTGAATTCCCATCATCATTTTTCTATTTCTCTATAATTACTTCTTTGATCCTTTATCTTATCCATTAGGCAATCAGCCTAAAACCTCTTCCGTATTTGGCTTTCTGTGAGCATGAGATCATATAGAAAATGTGAAAGCCCGCTGAATCCTCCAGCACAAATCCTGGAATAGAGAAAGTGCTCTGGTCATCACAAAAAAAACTTGCCCCCTCACCCAAATCCCCCATCTCACCCCTACTTCCAATCACCTGTGGAAATACAGATAGATCATGGGGAGGTAAATGCTAATACTCCTTGGAGTGAGTCCAGATCTTGGAATCAGAGATCAGTGCCAGCACTAGCTCCTGCTCCCCTTTCCTACTAATTCACAGGAGGACAGGTGGTATTGAAGCAATAGATAGTCGAGGGGGTGGTCCTTCCCCCAGCCTCTGAGGTAGAACAGCAGCCTAACATGTGTCTCCCGAGATCACAAAGAGTAGCACATTTCACACGGGCTTCAACACTATTTTCTGGCTGTTTGACATAAGAGAATTCTACTTCGCTTTTTTTATATTGATTTCACTTTTGTTTCCTTTTCTTGGAGAATGCAAGTTGTTTAACTCAAGAATGCCGTGGATGTAGAAATCCTAAAGCACATTCGCTGTGTATCAATCCCAGTCCAGTCTTCCCAGAGAAGACTCTAAACACCTCCTGGACTGCACCTGGGCCTATGCCAATTCCTATCACTCACCGTCACTCCAGGGAGACAGAACACACAGAGAATACGTTACATAGGCAGGTTCATTACTAACAGATAAGCAGCGAGTGACAACAGAAGCCTACATTTCAATGTGAGCCAGTTCCCCAAGGCTCAGAAAAGCTGCTCGAGACATGTGGAGTCACCCCATTTGCAGTGTAGCTGGGGGAAGCCAGAAAGCAGCCCAGCCTGGGTTTTGTACCCTGGAGCCACAGGAAGCACTCAGCTAAAGCACTGCATGACGTCCTCCTCCAGGAAGAACAGGAAGACAGCCCAGGCTGTTCTGGGACAATCCTCCTGATCTCAGGACTTTGCTGTCTTAGTCCATTTTTGTTGCTCTAAAGGAACACTTGAGCCTGGGTAACTTCTAAAGAAGAGATTGGTTTGCCTCACCGTTCTGCAGGCTGTACTGGAAGCATGGCACCAGCATCTATTTCTTATGATGGCCTCAGGCCGCTCCCACTCTGGCAGAAGGGAAGGAGGGTCTGTCTGTGCAGAGACCACAGAGATCACACGGCAAGAGAGGGAGCAAGGGGGAGGGGGAGCAATGGAGCTTCCAAGCTCTTTTTAACAACCAGCTCTCCAGGAACTAATAGAGAGGGAACTTGCTAACCCCGTCTCCTTGGGACAGCATTGATCTGTTCATGATGGATCCACCTCCATGACCCAAACACCTCCCAAGAGGCCCAACCTCCCACACTGGGGGTTAAATTTCAATGTGAGGTTTGAAGGGGTCAAACATCTCAACTAAAGTAGTTGTATCCTCAGCACGTTCCATGGTTACTATGAGAGCTATAACTGAGAAAGCAGGAGGAAGCTAGATCTCCCGCCATCTGGGTGCTTGTCCGAAAGAGATGCTGTAAGTGGTTACCTGTCAATCAAGAAATGCAAGACAATTCATATAGAGAAACTGCTATGATTAGCTTCTTACTGGTGTCTCCTCTTCTTCCAGGTAACCCCAGACACCTGCACATTCTGATTGGGACCTCAGTGGTCATCATCCTCTTCATCCTCCTCCTCTTCTTTCTCCTTCATCTCTGGTGCTCCAACAAAAAAAGTAAGTCTCACGGGGCACAGGCCAGAGAGCTCAGGGCCATGTGGGGAAGCAGGATGGGAGCACACAGCTGTGTGTTCCTCACTGGCAGGATGGTCCCTGGCCCAAGACAGGAGCCACAGAGGCAGGACTTTCTAGAGAGAGCACCAGACTCCCTGCCCCTGCCTTCAGCTCACAGACCGTTGCCTGATTCTGAACTGTATCCTCATGTCCCCTGCAGCCACTCACATCCAGGAGAAGGTTCCATGACAGGCAGAAAGTGGGAGACAGAATCAATGGGATGGGAACTCAGAGCTATTCATGGGATGGGTCCTTGAGCTCAGAGAGATAGAATGTCTGAGTCTGCTGTTGGCAACTGAGGGACCTCAGGCACCTATGGCCTCCCCCTGTTTGTTGGTATCTGCTTATGAAATGAGGACCCAGAAGTGCCCTCCGAGCTCTTTTGTTGACTTCCGTCTCCTACAGATGCTGCTGTAATGGACCAAGAGCCTGCAGGGAACAGAACAGCCAACAGCGAGGTAGGTGCTCCTCGGCCCAGCCTCGTGGCTAGTGTTATTCCCAAACAGTCCTGGAAAACGTGAGCACCCTCCCTCACTCAGCATTTCCCTCCCTCACTCAGCATTTCCCTCTCTCCAGGACTCTGATGAACAAGACCCTGAGGAGGTGACATACGCACAGTTGGATCACTGCGTTTTCACACAGAGAAAAATCACTCGCCCTTCTCAGAGGCCCAAGACACCCCCTACAGATACCATCTTGTACACGGAACTTCCAAATGCTAAGCCCAGATCCAAAGTTGTCTCCTGCCCATGAGCACCACAGTCAGGCCTTGAGGACGTCTTCTAGGGAGACAACAGCCCTGTCTCAAAACCGAGTTGCCAGCTCCCATGTACCAGCAGCTGGAATCTGAAGGCGTGAGTCTTCATCTTAGGGCATCGCTCCTCCTCACGCCACAAATCTGGTGCCTCTCTCTTGCTTACAAATGTCTAGGTCCCCACTGCCTGCTGGAAAGAAAACACACTCCTTTGCTTAGCCCACAGTTCTCCATTTCACTTGACCCCTGCCCACCTCTCCAACCTAACTGGCTTACTTCCTAGTCTACTTGAGGCTGCAATCACACTGAGGAACTCACAATTCCAAACATACAAGAGGCTCCCTCTTGACGTGGCACTTACCCACGTGCTGTTCCACCTTCCCTCATGCTGTTTCACCTTTCTTCGGACTATTTTCCAGCCTTCTGTCAGCAGTGAAACTTATAAAATTTTTTGTGATTTCAATGTAGCTGTCTCCTCTTCAAATAAACATGTCTGCCCTCATTGCTTCAGGTAATGTGACACTGTATTCGCTGAAAGAAACCGCTGTTATCATTACCATGTCCACATAACCCCATCTGTTCTCCGCTGGGTTCTCACCCCTGGACTCTGAGCTTCTGGAAGCAGGGTGGAGCCTCATTTGTCTCTGGGACTCCAATTTCCATCCAAAGATGCAGCACATAGGAGGTTCCAAGGATCGTGAATCACATGAACAAGTGATATTCTTACTCTCTGCAACCTGGAAAGCTGGCAGAGTCATTCCACGATGAAACATTTGTAGAGTCATAAGCCTTGCTAGTCTCATCTCCACGGGGACACATATCAACACATCATATTTCATACTATAAATATACAGTCGCTCCTCCATATCTGTGGGGTTTACAGGTGTTTATTGAACCAAGTGTAAATCAAAAATATTCAGAGAAAATGTCCACAAAGTTTCAAAATGCAAAACTATGTTGAATGGACACAAATGAGGCAGTGTGTAGGCTGTATCAGGAATTATAAGTAATCAAGAGATGATTTCATGTATACAGGAGGATGTGCATGGGTTATATCCAAATGCTGTGTCATTTTATGTAAGAGGCTTGAGCATCTGCAGATTTTGGTACCTGAGTGGAGATCCTGAAACCAATCACCCACGAATAGTAAAGGATGACCGTATATGACTTTTATTTCTCAATTTTAAATATAAATCATAAAAAATGTACAATAACTAGATAAAAAGTAAGAAGTGTTTTTATAGTGTGAGAATAAGTTTAGATTTATTTTTTCCTACGTGTAACCCTTTGGTTTAATATTATTTATTAAGAAGACATTCTATGCCACCTTAAACCACACGGCAGCCTTTGTCAACTCTAAAGGGACTGTGTGTACACGGATGTATTTTAGACACTGTTTCTGCTAAGGGGCTCTCTGTGTCCACACTCTTGAGGATGCTGCACTTCATGTAGCCTTATAAAACCCTTTAAATTTAGTAGCCAGAGCCCTCTAATTTGTTATTATAGGCTACTTGCTATTTTTTTTTCTTGAGGCGGAGTCTTGCTCTGTCGCCCAGGCGGGACTGTAGTGGAGCAATCTCAGCTCACTGCAACTTCCGCCTCCCAGGTTCAGGCGATTCTCGTGCCTCAGTCTCTTGAGTAGCTGGCGTTTCAGGTGCCTGCCACCAGGCATGGCTAATTTTTGAATTTTTAGCAGAGACGCGGTTTCACTGTGTTGGCCAGGCTGCTCTCAATCTCCTCATCTCAGTTGATCCGCCCACCTCGGCTTCCCGACCTGCTGGGGGAAACTTGATTTTCTATAGCATTATGTTACTGGATATTTCTGTAAAATTTAAAATGAGGGAGGCAGAGAGACAGAGAGAGAGCAAACTCCAGAGTTGGGACTCTGGAATCTTGAGTCATGAGACAAATTATAGATAAAACTACAAAAATCCAGAATTTACATGTGTGGTTTTTGCTGATAAAGTACAATTCTAAGATTGTAAATAATTGCATAATCCTTCCCTGGGAATTTAAATCATTTGAACTGGTTCTGCTGTAATACTAGAAATACAATCATGAACAATTCTAATGGTTTATTAGTCACAATGACTCTGAAAACACTAATAATACCTATTAGATATTTTGCATATTACACAGGAAGAAGAGTTCGAATCTCAGATAAAAACAATAAAAATTCATGAAAAGTCTTTCATGTTAGCACAGATTTTAGGCATCTCATGTTTGGGAGGTTGGATCTAAGACATGTTTTGAGTTGGTCATAGTGAAGGACGCGAGGTGTCAATTCTAGTGAGAGCAATTTCCAGGAAGCCATGTTCTGCTCTTGAGCGAGCACCCACTGGGCCTCATGCAAGGTAGAAAAAGCCTGCGTACGTCACCCTCCCATGATGTGGTCAACATGTAAACTGCATGGGCAGGGCGCCAAATAACATCCTGTGCGCTGCTGAGCTGAGCTGGGGCGCGGCCGCCTGTCTGCACCGGCAGCACCATGTCGCTCATGGTCATCATCATGGCGTGTGTTGGTGAGTCCTGGAAGGGAATAGAGGGAGGGAGCGTGGGGATGGAGATCTGGGCCCAGAGGTGGAGATATGGGCCTGGAGGTGGAGTTATGGGCCTGGAGTGGAGATCTGGGCCTAGAGATGGAGTGATGAGCCTAGAAGTGGAGATCTGCGCCTGGAGTGGAGATCTGGGCCTGGAGTGAAGATCTGGGCCTGGAGTGGAGATATGGGCCTGGAGTGGGGATAGGAACCTGGAGTGGAGAGAGGAACCTGGAGGAGAGATAGGAACCTGGAGGGGAGGTAGGAGCCTAGGGTGGAGATATGGGACTGGAGTGGAGATATGGGACTGGAGTGGAGATATGGGCCTGGAGTGGAGTTATGGGCCTGGAGTGAAGTTATGGGCCTGGAGGTGGAGATACGGGCCTGGAGTGGAGATATGAGCCTGGAGTGGAGATATGGTCCTGGAGTGGAGATATGGGCCTGGAGTGGAGATATGGGTCTGCAGTGGAGTTATGGGCCTGGAGTGAAGTTATGGGCCTGGAGGTGGAGATATGGGCCTGGAGTGGAGATATGGGACTAGAGTGGAGATAGGGGCCTGGAGGTGGAGATCTGGGCCTGGAGTGGAGATCTGGGCCTGGAGTGGAGATCTGGGCCTGGAGTGGAGATATGGGCCTGGAGTGGAGATATGGGTCTGCAGTGGAGATATGGGCCTGGAGGTGGAGATATGGGCCTGGAGTGGAGTTATGGGCCTGGAGTGAAGTTATGGGCCTGGAGGTGGAGATATGGGCCTGGAGTGGAGATATGGGACTAGAGTGGAGATAGGGGCCTGGAGGTGGAGATCTGGGCCTGGAGTGGAGATATGGCCCTGGAGTGGAGATATGGGCCTGGAGTGGAGATATGAGCCTGGAGTGGAGATATGGCCCTGGAGTGGAGATATGGGCCTGGAGGTGGAGATATGGGCCTGGAGTGGAGTTATGGGCCTGGAGTGAAGTTATGGGCCTGGAGGTGGAGATATGGGCCTGGAGTGGAGATATGGGACTAGAGTGGAGATACGGGCCTGGAGGTGGAGATCTGGGCCTGGAGTGGAGATATGGCCCTGGAGTGGAGATATGGGCCTGGAGTGGAGATATGAGCCTGGAGTGGAGATATGGCCCTGGAGTGGAGATATGGGCCTGGAGTGGAGATATGAGCCTGGAGTGGAGATATGGCCCTGGAGTGGAGATATGGGCCTGGAGTGGAGATATGGGCCTGGAGTGGACATATGGGTCTGGAGTGGAGATACGGGCCTGGAGGTGGAGATATGGGCCTGGAGTGGAGATATGGGCCTGGAGGTGGTGATATGGGCCTGGAGTGTAGACATGGGCCGAGTGGAGATATGGGTCTGGAGTGGAGATATGGGCCTGGAGTGGAGATATGGGACTGGAGTGGAGATATAGGCATGGGGTGGAGACATGGGCCGGGAGTGGAGATATGGGACTGGAGTGGAGATACGGGCGTGGGGTGGAGATATGTGCCTGGAGGTGGAGATATGGGCGTGGGTTGGAGATATGGGCCTGGAGTGGAGATATGGGCGTGGGGTGGAGATATGGATCTGGAGTGGAGACATGGGCATGGGGTGGAGATATGGGCCTGGTGTGTAGATATGGGCCTGGAGTGGAGATATGGCCCTGGAGTGGAGATATGGGCCTGGAGTGGAGATCTGGGCCTACGGTGGAGATATGGGCCTAGGATGGGGATATGGGCCTGGAATGGAGATATGGGCCTGGGTGTGGAGATATGGGACTGGAGTGGAGATATGGGCCTGATGTGGAGATATGGGCTTGGAGTGGAGATATGATCCTGGAGTGTAGTTATGGGCCTGGAGGTGGAGATCTGGGCCTGGGGTGGAGATATGGGCCTGGAGTGGAGATATGGGACTGGAGAGGAGATATGGGACTGGAGTGGAGATATGGGCCTGGAGTGGAGATATGGGCCTGGATTGGAGATATGGGCCGAGGGTGGAGATCTGAGCCTGGATTGGAGATGTGGGCCCGGATTGGCTATATGGGTCTAGGGTGGAAATATCGGCCTGGAGTGGAGATATGGGCCTGGAGTGGAGATATGGGCTTGGGGTGGGGATATGGGCCTGGAGGCTGGGTCTCTGCACAGCCGAGAGCACTGTTCTTGGGTGCAGGTAGGCTCTGATGGTGAGTTTCCCTTCGGCCCAGGAAGGGGCTGGCTATCAAGACTCACAGCCCAGTGGGGGCAGCAAGGAAGGCCTTGTTTGCCTGCAAATGGATCTTCCATCATGATCTTTCTTTCCAGGGTTCTTCTTGCTGCAGGGGGCCTGGCCACAGGAGGGTAAGTCCTTCTCCAAACCTTAGGGTGTCATCTCCCCACATAAGAGGATTTTCCTGAAACGGGAGGGAAGTCCTGTCAGGGAGTCTCTCATAAACTAGGAAGAGGGGACCCTGGGGTGCTCGGCCCACAGTTCCGACCTTGCCTCCCTGGCCTCTCAACCCCTTGGCAGAGTCAAGTTGTGTGGGGACCAGGGTTGGACTAGGGTGTTCAAAGCTGGGTTGTGTGGTGGGGAAGTGGTAGGAACAGCAGATCCTCTGAGGACAAAGGTGTTACTCACACACTTCAGCGTTTCCATGACGGTAGGGGCTGCAGTGTGGCTGCTGTCATTCTACCAGAAGAGGTGGGAAACCACAGCCATGGCCCTGACATTCCAAATCCTCTGATGGGGGCTAAGTTTTTTATTTTCATTCAGGCAACTGCTGATATTCCATTCTCAAAGGACATGCCCTCCACTTCATGTCTACCCTGTGTTGTTTTATGTCAGTAATCTTACAGTATTAAAATCTAGTAGGAGTCTCTTACTCAGCACTTGCTCAAAGTTCTCAGCTGACACTTTTGTTGTACGGAGACACCTTGTCTTTGTGGGATGGGTCCTTCCTTTAGCCCTAGGCACCAAGGTGTGATAGCAGCCATAGAAATGTGGAAAGTGGGGAGAATCTTCTGAGCACAGGGAGGGAGGCACAGCTCCACATCCTCCTCTCTAAGGCGGCGCCTCCTTCACCCCAAGGTGGTCAGGACAAGCCCTTGCTTTCTACCTGGCCCAGCCTTGTGGTGCCTCCAGAACATGTGACTCTTCAGTGTCACTCTAATCTTGGGTTTAACAACTTCAGTCTGTACAAGGATGATGGGGTGCCTGTCCCTGAGCTGTACAACAGAATATTCTGGAAAAGCCTTTTCATGGGCCCTGTGACCACGTCACATGCAGGGACCTATAGATGCCGGGGTTCACACACACACTCCCCCAGTGGGTGGTCGGCACCCAGCAACCCCCTGGTGATCGTGGTCACAGGTCAGAGGGCTCCTGTCTGGGATTCTCCTTGTCCCACCTCCTGAATCCCAGAGCTTCTGGTAGGCATGTCCTTGAGGGTCCCATCACGCAGGCCCTAACTGTATTTGGGGTAAAGGGGGATTGAATACAGGGAAATGGGTGCTGTGGTGGGAAGAATAAGTGTCCCCAGTGATGACTGCATTCTAATCCCTGGAGTCTGTGACTATTTATGTTATAGGGGAAGGGACTGAAGGGGAAGATGGAGCTCAGGTTGTTGATGAGTTGACCTTGAGATGGGGAGACAGCCTGGACTGTCCCGGTGGGCTCAGTATAATCACAAGTGTCCACATGAAAGGAGGAGGAAGAGGAGAGTGGGGATTAGAGCAGCGTAGTGGGAGACTCCATCAGCTTTGAAGGTGGATGAAGGCCATAAGCCATGAATGCAGGTGGCCTATAGAGGCTGGGAAAGTCAAGTAACTGATTCTCCTGAGTCTCCAGAGGGAACACAGCCCTGCAGATGCCTTGATTTTAGCCCTCGAAAAACAGGGTCCGCTTTCTGTCTCCAGAATCGGAGGGGGTCAGTGTGCTCTCTCCTGCTGCCATGCTTCTGATAATTTTCTACAGCAGCAACAGGAAACCAACACTGGAACCCAGGTCAAGGACAAGTTAAGAAAAGACACAAGGATAGCCAGGCATGGTGGCAGGTGCATGTAATCCTAGCGACTCGGGAGGCTGAGAGCAGGAGAATCGCTTGAACCCAGGAGACAGAGGTTGCAGTGAGCGTAGACCACACCACTTCACTCCAGCCTGGGTGAAGGAGTGAGACTCTGTCTCCAAAATTAATTAATTAATTAAAGAAACCAAACAAAGAGAAGGTTGGCTACACCGAGATCAGCAAGGGTGGGATGATGATGCCACCACCAGGCTCCATCCACATAGGGAGGGGTTGATACTCCTCAAATCAGCACGAGGAGCCAGCCTATGGAAACTGGCACCATGGAGAAGGCACAGACATGGCAAGAGTGGCTCCCAGTCCCCACCAGGAACAGGGTGTGTGGACACTGGTGCCTGCCTTACTGATCAGTTCATACCTCCTGCCAAGGATTCCAATTCGTCCAAAAGAGATTGAACCAAGCTGCTAAGAGCCGGGACGTGCAGCCTATCCTGCTTCCTCTTCCACTCCCACATAGACAGTAAGAAAGACATTAGTGTGAAATAGATACAACAGCCCAAGAGATGAGGCTGAGCCCAGTGGGAAGGGAATCACAGCTACTAGAGACAGAGGGACAGAGAAGAGGGAGGGAGACAGATGGAAGGACCTGCACCAGGAGTTATGGGCACAGAAAAGAACATGAAGACACAGAGAGGAAGCAGAGAGACAGACACCAGCGAAGGGAAGGCTCACTCATTCCAGGTGCCATGGATGGGATGATAAAGAGAGACACCTTCTAAACTCACAACCTCTCTTCCTAGGAGTCCACAGAAAACCTTCCTTCCTGGCCCTCCCAGGTCACCTGGTGAAATCAGAAGAGACAGTCATCCTGCAATGTTGGTCGGATGTCATGTTTGAGCACTTCCTTCTGCACAGAGAGGGGAAGTTTAACAACACTTTGCACCTCATTGGAGAGCACCATGATGGGGTTTCCAAGGCCAACTTCTCCATTGGTCCCATGATGCCTGTCCTTGCAGGAACCTACAGATGCTACGGTTCTGTTCCTCACTCCCCCTATCAGTTGTCAGCTCCCAGTGACCCTCTGGACATGGTGATCATAGGTGAGAGTGTCCAGACATTCTTCTCATTGTCATTGGGATGCAGAGTGAATGATCCAGGACTTGGAGACCCAGGTGGTTGTAAGGAAGATGAGCTTGGTATTCTTATGGAGAGAGACTGACTTGGTGAGGTCTGTGCCAACAGAGACAGAGAAACAAGAGACACAAGTACAGACCAGGTGTCATAACAGAGGACAAACACAGGGGCCATACAGGGAGTTAGAAAAGACAGAAAGAGTTAAAGGAGACAGACAGACATGTCCCAGACAGAGGTGTCCTTCCATGCTGACTTTGCTCAGAGACCTGGCACAGGTTAGAAGTTTCATTTCTGTTTTACCTCCACAAAGTGTTCTCTACCAGGAGAACCCAAGGACACCCATATTTCTGACCTGAGTTGGGCCCTGTGGCCTCAGGCCTTGTGGCACCTACAGATGCCATGCTTATTCTGACACCTCTGACTTCCATGCAATGGAGAATAATCGTCCCAAAATATCATGGCCCCAGAACACCAACCCCTGTATGCTGTGTGAACTTGTGGTCTCCAGACTGGATTCTGAGGCTCACATTCCAAATAACCCCACATATCACATATGAGAGGATCACTGAGAAGCACAGAGAGAAATCAGGGACACCAAAAAGCAAAGACATAAACACACAGAGAAAGAGCCAGAGGAAGGAGATTGAGAGACTCACAGACACATAAAGAGAGAGAAGAGGGCAGAGAAGTGGAGAGAATGATGGAAGAGAGCAGAGAAAACCACTAAAATTAGAGTCCTGAGGGCGAGGCACAAGGGCATAGAAAGATGGAGATGTGGGGATGAATTGCAGAGATTCCAAAGAGAACTAGAGAGACCGAGAGGCAGAGCAAGACAGATGATAGATGGATAGATACAGATAGATGATGGATAGATATAGATAGATGATATATAGGTAGATGATAGATAATAGGTTATAGATACATAGATGATGATTGATTGATTCATTAATAGATGATACATAGAGATGATGATGATGAAGATAGATGGATAGATAATACATAGAGATAGAGAGGAAGACAAAGAGAGAAATAATAGAGAGAGAGAGATGATACATATATATAGATAATAGATGATTGACGGATAGACAATTGATAGATAAATAGATGATATATAGATATAGATGACAGGTAGAGAATTTGTAGATAGGCACCGAATAGATAAATAGATGGATTGATAGATAATAGATAGAAATATGCAGAAAGTTATGAACGGGACACAAACTGAGAAACTCAGAGTTAAAAAAAGTAACATCAAGTCAACCAATCCAAGGAGAGCCAGAGAGAATAAAACAATCCAAAAACGGAAAACATAACTAGAGGTAGGGAAGTGAGGTCAGAGACCTACAGAGACAGAGAAGGTGGAAGGAGGAAATAGACATGAAGAGAGATAGGGTGGAGGGTGAGACAGAGAAAGAGAGCATTAGGCCATAGAGCAGGGGAGTGAGTTCTCAGGTCAGGTGTGAGGGGAGCTGTGACAAGGAAGATCCCCCCTGAGGAAACTGCCCCTTCTCCTTCCAGGTCTATATGAGAAACCTTCTCTCTCAGCCCAGCCGGGCCCCACGGTTCAGGCAGGAGAGAATGTGACCTTGTCCTGCAGCTCCATCTATCCAGGGAAGGGGAGGCCCATGAACGTAGGCTCCCTGCAGTGCGCAGCATCAACGGAACATTCCAGGCCGACTTTCCTCTGGGCCCTGCCACCCACGGAGGGACCTACAGATGCTTCGGCTCTTTCCGTGACGCTCCCTACGAGTGGTCAAACTCGAGTGATCCACTGCTTGTTTCCGTCACAGGTGAGGAAACCCCATATCTGTCCCATGTCCTATGATCCTAGAGCCTTAGCTGAGGAGCTTCCTGCTGATGATGGAGAGAAGCATGGACAGATGCAGAGAGAAGACGCAGCATGCCTGTGAGGGAGGGATCAGGGCGCAGGATGGCACACACAGCACCTCCAAACCCTCCTGCATGGCCTGCATGGAGGCCTCCGATTAGGGCTCCAGAAACCCAGGCAGATGTAGAAAGCGGTCAGGAGAGACCCAGAGAAGGGGAGACTGGGCTCAGTTTGGGGAGATCAGAGGTTCCCTCAGCCCCTCAACCTTACCCATTTCCCAGAAGCCCTTCCTGGCCTCTCACCCACACAGAGATGTCATCACCAGCAACCCCTACATCCTTTTCTTTTTGTTTGAAAAAATATTCATTGAGGTTAAATATACCTATATAGCTTACCACTTTTAACATTTTTTTTTTTTTGAGGTGGAGTCTAGCTCTGTCTCCTATGCTGGAATGCAGTGGCACAATCTCAGCTCACTGTAACCTCCGCCTCCTGGGTTCAAGCGATTCTCCTGCCTCAGCCACCTGAGTAGCTGGTACTACAGGCGCCCATCACCACGCCGGGCTACTTTTTGTATTTTTAGTAGAGAGGGGGTTTCACCATGTTGGTCGAGCTGCTCTGGAACTCCTGACCACGTGATCCACCCGCCTCAGGCTCCCAAAGTGCTGGGATTACAGGCATGAGCCACCGCGCCCGGCCACGTTTACCAATTTTAAGTGTAAGGTCTAGTGGTCATAAATACATACATATAAATTTTTTGTTTGTTTGTTTTATCCTCCACCCTTTTCTTCCTGGCCTCTGGTAGCCACCATTCTACTCTCTATCTTCATGAGATCCACCTTTTAGCTCCTGTATATGGGTGAGAAATGAGAATATTTGTAATGACTTCCAGTTCCATCCATGTGGCTGCAAATATCAGGATGTTATTCTTTCTATGGATGAGTAGTCTCCGCTGTGCGTATGTACTACATTCTCTCTATCCATTCATCCACTGATGGGCAGGTAGGTTGACTCCACATCTTGGCTACTGTGAAGAGTGCTGCACCAATCATACGAGTGCAGATATCACTTCGATACATTGATTTACTTTCCTTTGGATATAAACCCAGTAGTGAAATTGCTGGATACTATGAAAGTTCTCTTTTTAGTTTTTCGTTTGTTGTTTTGTTTTTGTTTTTGAGACAGTTTCCCTCTGTGCCCAGGCTGGAGTACAAGTGATGTGATCTTGGCTCATTGCAACCTCCGCCTCCTGGGTTCAAATGATTTTCCTGCCTCAGCCTCCCTAGTAGCTGGGATTACAGGTGCACGCCACCATGCCGGGATACTTTTTGGTTTTTTTTAGTGTACATGGGGTTTCCCCAGGTTGGCTAGGCTGCTCTCAAACTCATGACCTCAACTGAGGTGCCCGCCTCGGTCTCCCAAAGTGCCGGGATTACAGGCATGATCCACTTCATCCAACCTCTTTTTAGTTCTTTAAAGGACTTCCATACTTTTCTCCGTAATGGCTGTACTAATTTACACTCCTACCAACAGGGTACCAGGGTTCTCCTTTCTCTACCACCTTGCCAGCATTTGTTTTGCCTGTCTTGCAGCTAAAAGCCATTTTATTTTATTTCATTTTATTTTGAGATGGAGTTTCGCTCTTGTCACCCAGGCTGGAGTGCAGTGGTGCGATCTCGGCTCACCGCAACCTCCACCTCCCAGGTTCAAGCGATTCTCCTGCCTCAGCCTCCCGAGTAGCTGGAATTACAGGCACACGCCACCACGCCCGACTAATTTTTGTATTTTTAGTAGAGACAGCGTTTCTCCATGTGGGTCAGACTGGTCTCAAACTCCCGACCTTATGAGATTCGCCCACCTCGGGCTCTCAGAGTTCTAGGATGACAGACGTGAGCCACCTCGCCCGGCCTAAAAGCCATTTTAATGGGGTGAGATGAAAACTCACTTTGATTTTAATTCGCGTTTCTCTGATGATGAGTGATACTGAGCACTTTTTCGTATGTGGGGAAATTTCATGTCTTTTGCTCCTTTTTCAATTAAATCATTTGTTTTATTGAGTTGTTTGAGCTTCTTATACTTCTAGTTATTAATCCCGTCTCAGATGCATAGTTTGCACATATTTGCTCCCAATCTGTGGGTTGTCTCTTCACTTTGTTGGTTTATTTTTAGCGGTGCAGAAGTTGCTTAGTTTGAGGTAATCCCAATGGTCTATTTTTGCTTCGATTACTTGTGTTTTGAAGGTTTAAAACAAAATGTCTTCCTTCAGACAAATGTACTGGAGCATTTCCCCAATATTTTCTTCTACGTGTTTCACAGGTTCAGGCCTTAGACTCACATCTTTAATCCACTTTCATTTGATTTTTGTGTATGGTGACAGGTAGAGGTGCAGTTTCATTCCTCTGCATGTAGATGTCCAGGTTTCCCTGCACTGTTTATTGAAAAAACTGTCCTTTCCTGATTGTGAGTTCTTGGCACCTTTGTCAAAGTCCATTGGATGGGCTGGGCATGGTGGCTAACACCAGCAACTTCAGCACTTTGGGAGGCCAAGGCTGGTGGATCACCTGAGGACAGGAGTACAAGATTACTCTGGCCGACGTGATGAAACCTCGTCTCCACTAAAAATATAAAAATTAGCTGAGCATGGTGGTCAGCACCTGTAATACTACTACTCAGGAGTTTGAGGCAAGAGAATTGATTGAACCCAGGAGGCTGAGGTTGCAGTGAACCGAGATTGCACCTCTGCACTCCAGCCTGGGTGACAGAGCGAGACTCCATCTCAAAAGAAAAAATAAAAAAAATTGGATGTAAATGCATGGATTATATCTGTGTTCTTCATTCTGCTCCGTTGTTCTATGTGCCTTTCTTCATGCCAACATCATGCTGTTTTGCTTACTACAGCTCTGTAACATATTTTGAGATCAGGTAGTGTGATGCTCCTGTTTTCTCTTTATACCTTGAAGTCTCAAGACAGTGGGCGTCACATACAAAAATTATGGAAGAAAGGATCCCTGGACTCCCAGGGCCCAATGTTAGATAACAGAGTGTTGGCCATGAACCAAACTCAAAGATTTCCACTGAGTAGAGGACAGACACCCTCATTTCCTCACCTCTCTCCTGTCTCATGTTCTAGGAAACCCTTCAAATAGTTGGCCTTCACCCACTGAACCAAGCTCCAAAACCGGTGAGTACAGGACCCTCTTATATCCGCTTTTGGAACCCTGGGGAGGTGGAAACCTTGGATTCAGGCGTTGACTCAGCATCTCACAGCTCTGACATTGTACGCCTGTCTTCTACCATCTCCGAACTCCAGATACTCCAACAGCGAAAGGGATCTGGGCCCAACACAGGGCTCAGTGAAATCTCTTCATCTCTCATTTTATGGAGCTGAGACCTCCTACAAGCTAGAAGAATGATTGCCAATCTGACATCCTTCTCAGGAAAAACGCAATGTTTGTTCTGCTTGCATTCCTAACTGGAGGATAAATTCCTGGGGGCTTGAGAGAGGGAAGGGAAGCGAACATCTGATGAGGGCGAGGTGTTTTAGAGAAGTTCCACTTGCCAAGGAATGAGCTCCTGTTGGTCATGAAACAACCCTGGCTGACTCAGCAGAGCAAGAGCCTTGCCGTAACAGAGAACAGAGCTCATGCACGCACACTTTGACTCACTGACTTATTCAGCCACGGCCCCATGCTCAGGTTGTGCAGTGTGGAAGCTTTTCCTATTGTTGCCATAACAAATTTCCACAAGATTCGTGGGTGAAAACAAAACGGTTATTTAATTATCTTACAGTGCTCTAGCTCAAAGCATGAAGTGCATCTCACTGGGCTAAAATCAAGATGACAGCAAGCCTGCCTTCCCTCTGAGGATTCCAGGCAAGAATCTGCTTCTCACTTGTCCCATCTTATAAAGGCTCCCAGTTCCTTGGCTGCTGGTCCCTTTCCTCCTTCCTCAAAACCCACAAAGACTGGTCACATCTCACATGGCATCACTCAGACCCTTCTTCCTTACCACACCTCTTTCTCTGAATGCTGCTCTCCCTTCTTCCTCATCTTTTGAAAACTTGGGGATTCTATTGGGTTCACCAAGATGAAAATCCGTCATAATCTCCCGGAAATCATTCAGGATACCCTTGTTTTAAGTTCAGCTGATTAGCAACCATAATTCCATCTGCAATCTTCATTCCTCCTTTCCATGTAAAATAACATATTCACAAGCTATGGAGGCTAGGACAGGGACATTTTGGGGTGGGACAGCATTCTCCTGCCTTCCACAAATGGTGAACAAGATGCATTTGGCCTCTGCTCTTGGGACACTGATATTGCAGATGGTTAAATGGGAGGACAGAAAATGAATGCACAAGTGGACCAATAAATGAATGATCCATTGGGAAGCATCTGTGCATGAAATCTATTTGTTTGTTCGTTCGTTTGTTTATTGAGACAGAGTCTCCCTCTGTCTTCCAGGCTACAGTGCAGTGTCACGATCTTGGCTCACTGCAACCTGCGTCTCCTGGATCCAAGTGATTCTCCTGCCTCACCCTCTCGAGTAGCTGGGATTACAGGCAACTGCCACCATGCCCGGCTAATTCTTTTTGTATATTTTTTGTAGAGAGGATGTTTCACCATGTTGGCCAAGCTTGTCTGAAACTCCCAACCTCAAGTGATCCGACCATCTCAGCAACCCAAAGTACTGGGATTACAGGCGTGAGCCACTTTGCCCAGCCAGAATTCAAAATAAATAATAGATAATGCTGAGTGTATAATTTTGGGTGACAGAGAAGGTCTCACTAATCAGATATTTGTGACATTAATGAAAAACACGGATTGAACCCCTGAAAGATTGGCGGAAGGATTTTCCACACACAGCTGTCAGCTGTGAAGGCACAAAGGTGAAAACAATCTGATGTTGAAGGAAGAGGCTCTGCCTGAAATGCTGGGAATGAGGTGGGGAGAATGACAAGATGACTGTAGAGAGATGGAGAGCACTCTGGGTACACAGGAAACTAAGGAGGAACAAGGAGTGTGTGTTTGACACTCACAGCCATTGGATTCACCTCGGGGTAACCAGGAATCCCTACATGATTAATAGTGACTGACAAGAAAATAAGGGAGGCCCAGGTGCGTAACTGGAATCTAGGAGACTGTGGAAAAGGCAATTGCCGCCCCACTGGTGAAATGTGGTGCTGATTTAGACACTAAATGAATGAAGTAGATGGATATAAGATATGCTTGTGAGGTAGAATCATTGGCTGGAAAGGCTTGCTGGGTTTGATTTTCCTACTTGTTTAATCCTCGCTTAATTAATTTCTTTCTGAGATTTATTCATCCTACACATAAATCAATACCTGGCAAAGGAGTGACAGATATATGAGGGGTGGTGGAAATGAAGGGACCTATTATAGCATAATATACAAGTCTGTGAACGGTGGCTCATGCTTGTAACCCAGCCCTGCAGGAGGCCAAGGCGGGTGGATTCCATGAAGTCAGGAGTTCCAGACCAGCCTGGCCAACATGGTGAAACCCTATCTGTACTAAAAATACAAAAATTAGCCGAGCATGGTGGTGCATCCCTGTAATCCCAGCTCCTACTCTGGAGGATGAAGCAGGAGAATGACTTCAACCCAGGAGGTGGAGGTTGCAGTGAGTGGAGATTGCATCACTGCACTCCAGCCTGGGTGACACAAGGAGACTCCGTCTCAAAAAATAAAAATAAGAAATGCATAAATATAATAAAACACACACGAATGACAAAGGCACCTGAATTCCAATCATCATTTTTCTATTTCTCTATAATTACTTCTTTGATCCTTTATCTTATCCATTAGGCAATGAGCCTAAAACCTCTTCCCTATTTGGCTTTCTGTGAGCATGAGATCACATAGAAAATGTGAAAGCCCGCTGAATCCTCCAGCACGGATCCTGGAATAGAGAAAGTGCTCTGGTCATCGCAAAAAAAAACTTGCCCACTCACCCAAATCCCCCACCTCACCCCTACTTCCAATCACCTGTGGAGATTCAGATAGACCATGGGGAGGAAACATTAATACTCCTTGGAGTGAGTCCAGATCTTGGAATCAGAGATCAGCGACAGCACTAGCTCCTGTTCCCCTTTCCTACTAATTCACAGGAGGACAGGTGGTATTGAAGCAATAGATGGTCGAGGGGGTGGTCCTTCCCCCAGCCTCTCGGGTAGAACAGCAGCCTAACATGTGTCTCCCGAGATCACAAAGAGTAGCACATTTCACACGGGCTTCAACACTATTTCCTGGCTGTTTGACATAAGAGAATCTTGCTTCGCTATTTTTAATCGTGATTTCACCTTTGTTTCCTTTCCTTGGTGAATGCAATTTGTTTGACTCAAGAATGCTGTGGATGTAGAAATCCTAAAGCACATTCGCTGTGTATCAATCCCAGTGCAGTCTTCCCAGAGAAGACTCTAAACAAATCCTGGACTGCACCTGGGCCTATGCCAATTCCTATCACTCACCGTCACTCCAGGGAGACAGAACACACAGAGAATACGTTACATAGGCAGGTTCATTACTAACAGATAAGCAGCGAGTGACAACAGAAGCCTGCATTTCAATGTGAGCCAGTCCCTCAAGGCTCAGAAAAGCTGCTCGGGACATATGGAGTCACCCCATTTGCAGTGTAGCTGCGGGAAGCCAGAAAGCAGCCCAGCCTGGGTTTTGTACCCTGGAGCCACAGGAAGCACTCAGCTAAAGCACTGCATGACGTCCTCCTCCAGGAAGAACAGGAAGACAGCCCAGGCTGTTCTGAGACATTCCTCCTGATCTCAGGATGTTGCTATCTTAGTCCATTTTTGTTGCTCTAAAGGAACACTTGAGCCTGGGTAACTTCTAAAGAAAAGAGATTGGTTTGCCTCACAGTTCTGCAGGCTGTACTGGAAGCATGGCACCAGAATCTATTTCTCGTGACGGCCTCAGGCTGCTCCCACTCTGGCAGAAGGGAAGGAGGGTCTGTCTGTGCAGAGACCGCAGAGATCACACGGCAAGAGAGAGAGTAAGGGGGAGAGGGAGCGATGGAGCTTCCAAGCTCTTTTTAACAACCAGCTCTCCAGGAACTAACAGAGGGGGAACTTGCTAACCCCGTCTCCTTGGGACAGCATTGATCTGTTCATGATGGATCCACCTCCATGACCCAAACACCTCTGAAGAGGCCCAACCTCCCACAATGGGGGTGAAATTTCAATGTGAGGTTTGAAAGGGTCAAACATCTCAACTAAAGTAGTTGTATCCTCAGCACGTTCTATGGTTACTATGAGAGCTATAATTGAGAAAGCAGGGGAAAGCTAGGTCTCCCGCCATTTGGGTGCTTGTCCTAAAGAGACGTTGTATGTGGTTACCTGCCAATCAAGAAATGCGAGACAATTCATAAAGAGGAACTGCTATGATTAGCTTCTTATTGGTGTCTCCTCTTCTTCCAGGTAACCCCAGACACCTACATGTTCTGATTGGGACCTCAGTGGTCAAAATCCCTTTCACCATCCTCCTCTTCTTTCTCCTTCATCGCTGGTGCTCCGACAAAAAAAGTAAGTCTCACGAAGCAGAGGCCAGAGAGCTCAGGGCCATGTGGGGAAGCAGGATGGGAGCACGCGGATGTGTGTTCCTCACCAGCAGGATGGTCCCTGGCCCAAGACAGGAGCCACAGAGGCAGGACTTTCTAGAGAGAGCACCAGATTCCCTTCCCCTGCCTTCAGCTCACAGACCATTGCCTGATTCTGAACTGTATCCTCACGTCCCCTGCAGCCACTCACATCCAGGAGAAGGTTCCATGACAGGCAGAAAGTGGGAGATAGAATCAATGGGATGGGACCTCAGAGCTATTCATGGGATGGGTCCTTGAACTCAGAGAGATAGAATGTCTGAGTCTGCTGTTGGCAACTGAGGGACCTCAGGCACCTATGGCCTCCCCCTGTTTGTTGGTATCTGCTTATGAAATGAGGACCCAGAAGTGCCCTCCGAGCTCTTTTGTTGACTTCCGTCTTCTACAGATGCTGCTGTAATGGACCAAGAGCCTGCAGGGAACAGAACAGTGAACAGCGAGGTAGGTGCTCCTCCGCCCAGCCTCGTGGCTAGTCTTATTCCCAAAGAGTCCTGAAAAATGTGAGCACCCTCCCTCACTCAGCATTTCCCTCTCTCCAGGATTCTGATGAACAAGACCATCAGGAGGTGTCATACGCATAATTGGATCACTGTGTTTTCACACAGAGAAAAATCACTCGCCCTTCTGAGAGGCCCAAGACACCCCCAACAGATACCAGCATGTACATAGAACTTCCAAATGCTGAGCCCAGATCCAAAGTTGTCTTCTGTCCACGAGCACCACAGTCAGGCCTTGAGGGGATCTTCTAGGGAGACAACAGCCCTGTCTCAAAACCGGGTTGCCAGCTCCCATGTACCAGCAGCTGGAATCTGAAGGCATCAGTCTTCATCTTAGGGCATCGCTCTTCCTCACACCACGAATCTGAACATGCCTCTCTCTTGCTTACAAATGTCTAAGGTCCCCACTGCCTGCTGGAGAGAAAACACACTCCTTTGCTTAGCCCACAATTCTCCATTTCACTTGACCCCTGCCCACCTCTCCAACCTAACTGGCTTACTTCCTAGTCTACCTGAGGCTGCAATCACACTGAGGAACTCACAATTCCAAACATACAAGAGGCTGCCTCTTAACACAGCACTTAGACACGTGCTGTTCCACCTCCCTTCAGACTATCTTTCAGCCTTCTGCCAGCAGTAAAACTTATAAATTTTTTAAATAATTTCAATGTAGTTTTCCCGCCTTCAAATAAACATGTCTGCCCTCATGGTTTCGGTAACGAGACTCTTTTCTTGCCTAAGGCTTCCGGTGTTATCATTACCATGTCCACATAACCCCATCTGTTCTCCATTGGGTTCTCAGCCCTGGACTCTGAGCTTCTGGAAGCAGAATGGAGCCTGATTTGTCTCTGAGACTCCAATTTCCATCCAAAGATACAGCACATAGGAGGCTCCAAGGATCGTGAATCACATGAACAAGTGATATTCTTACTCTCTGCAGACCTGGAAAGCTGGCAGAGTCATTCCACGATGAAACATTTGTAGAGTCATAGGCCTTGTTAGTCTCATCTCCACGGGGACACATATCAACATATCATCTTTCATAATATAAATATACAGTCGGTCCTCCATATCTGTGGGGTTTACAGGTGTTTATTGAACCAACAATAAATCAAAAATATTTTCAGAAAAAAATCCCCGAAGTTTCAAGAAGCAAAAAACTATGTTGAATCGACACAAATTGAGTGGCGTGTAGGCTGTGTCAGGAATTATAAGTAATCAAGGGATGATTTCATGTATACAGGAGGATGTGCATGGGTTCTATGCAATTGCTATGCTATTTTTTTTTTTTTTTTGAGACAGTCTCACTCTCTCACCCAGGCTGGAGTGCAGTGGCATGATCTCAGCTCACTGCAACCTCCGCCTCCCAGGTTCAAGCGATTGTCTTCCCTCAGCCTCCCCAGTAGCCTCCCCTAGGATTACAGGCACGTGCCACCATGCACAGATAAATTTTTTTGTGTGTGTATTTTTAGTAGAGACGGGGTTTCAGAATGTTGGACCAGCTGGTCTTGAACTCCTGACCTCGTGATCTACCCAACTCAGCCTCCCAAAGTGCTGGGATTACAGGCGTGAGCCACGGTGCCCAGCTTCGCTATGCCATTTCATGCAAGGGGCTTGAGCATCTGCAGATTTTGGTATCTGAATGGGGATCCTGGAACCAATCACCCAGGAATAGTGAAGGACCACAGTATATAATTTTTATTTGTCAATCTTAAAAATAAAGCATAAAAAGTTTACAACAACAAGATAAAAAATAAGAAGTGTCTTTATAGTGTGAGGATAAGTTTAGATTTATTTTTTCCTACGTGTAACCCTATGGTCCTGTGTTATTTGTTGAGAAAATATTCTATTCCACCTTAAACTACATGGCAGCCTTTGTCAACTATAAAGGGACTGTGTATCCACAGATGTATTTTAGACACAGTTTTCTGCCCAGTGGTTCTCTGTATCCCCTCTCATGAGGATGCTGCATTTCATATAAACTTATAGAACCCCTTAAAATTTGGTAACCTGAGTTCTCTGATTTGTTATTATAGGTTATTTAGTTTGCTTTTTTTTTTCTTTCTTGAGACAGACTCTTCCTCTGTCACCCAAGCTGGAGTTCAGTGGCTTGAGCTCAGCTCACTGCAGCCTCCGCCTCCCAGGTTCAAGCAATTCTCGTGCCTCAGGTTTAGTACTAGAAACTCATCAGGAAAATTAGAATGGCTTTTTGTCACAATTACTCTGATAATGTTAATAATACCTCTTAGATATTTTGCACATTACACATGAAGAAAAGTTTGAATCTCAGATAAAAACAAAAATACATCAAAAGTCTTTAATGTAAGCACAGAATTCAATCACCTCATGTGTGAGAGGTTGGATCTGAGACGTCTTTTGAGTCTGGTCATAGTGAAGGATGCAAGGTGGCAATTGTAGTCACAACAATTTCCAGGAAGCCATGTTCCGCTCTTGAGCGAGCACCCACTGGGCCTCATGCAAGGTAGAAAGAGCCTGCGTACGTCACCCTCCCATGATGTGGTCAACATGTAAACTGCATGGGCAGGGCGCCAAATAACATCCTGTGCGCTGCTGAGCTGAGCTGGGGCGCGGCCTCCTGTCTGCACCGGCAGCACCATGTCGCTCACGGTCGTCAGCATGGCGTGCGTTGGTGAGTCCTGGAAGGGAATAGAGGGAGGGAGAGTGGGGATGGAGATCTCGGCCTAGAGGTAAAGATATGGGCCTGGAGTGGAGATATGGGCCTGGAGTGGAGATATGGGCCTGGGTGTGGAGATATGGGCCTGGAGGTGTAAATATGGGCCTGGAGTGGAGATATGGGCCTGGAGGGGAGATATGGGCCTGGGTGTGGAGATATGGGCCTGGAGTGGAGATACGGGCCTGGAGTGGAGATATGGGCCTGGAGTGGAGATATGGGCCTGCAGGTGGAGATCTGGGCCTGGAGTGGAGATATGGGCCTGGAGTGGAGATATGGGTCTGATGTGGAGATATGGGCCTGGAGTGGAGATATGGGCCTGGAGTGGAGATATGGGCCTAGAGGGGAGATCTGGGCCTGGAGTGGAGATATGGGTCTGATGTGGAGATATGGGCCTGGAGTGGAGATATGGGCCTGGAGTGGAGATAGGGGCCTGGAGTGGAGATATGGGCCTGGAGTGGAGATCTGGGCCAGGAAGTGTTGATCTGGGCCTGGAGCCTGGGTCTCTCCACAGCTGAGAGCCCTGTTCTTGGCAGCAGGTAGCAGGGAGGCTAAGTTTACCTTCAGCCCAGCAAGGGCCTGGCTGCCAAGACACACAGTGCAGTGGGGGCAGCAGGGTGCCCTGGTTTGCCTGCAGTTGGATCGTCTATCATGATCTTTCTTTCCAGGGTTCTTCTTGCTGCAGGGGGCCTGGCCACTCATGGGTGAGTCCGTCCCCAAACCTTAGGGTGTCATCTCCCCACATAAGAGGATTTTTCTGAAACAGGAGGGAAGTCCTGTCGGGGAGTCTCTCATAAACTAGGAAGAGGGGACCCTTGGATACTCGGCCCACATTTCTGACCTCGCCCTCCCTGGCCTTTCTTTCCCTTTCCTGAGTCAAGCTCTGTGAAGACTGGGGTGAGACTGGGGTGCTCCAAGCTGGGGTGTGCAGGGAGGAAGTGGTGTCAGCAGCAGAGAAAGAGAGGGAAGCAGTGCTAGGAACAGCAGGTCCTCTGAGGACAAAGGTATAACTGACACCCTCCAGCGTTTCCGTGACGGTAGGGGCTGCAGTGTGGCTGCGGTCTTTCTACCAGAAGAGGGGGGAAACCACAGCCATGGCCCTGACATTCCAAATCCTCTGAGGGGGCTCAGTTCATGAATTGGCTGATATTCCATTCACATAGGACATGCCCTCCATGCCGTGTCTACTTTGTGTTGTTTTATGTGAGTAATTTTGCAGTATTAAAATCTAGTAAGAGTCACTTATTCAGCACTTGCTCAAAGTTCTCAGCTGACACTTGTTGTAGGGAGACGCCATGTCTATGTGGGGTGGGTCCTTCCTGTAGCCCTGGGCACCCAGGTGTGGTAGGAGCCTTAGAAAGCGGAAATGGGAGAATCTTCTGAGCACAGGGAGGGAGGGGTGGCTCCACATCCTCCTCTCTAAGGCAGTGCCTCCTTCTCCCCCAGGTGGTCAGGACAAACCCTTCCTGTCTGCCCGGCCCAGCACTGTGGTGCCTCGAGGAGGACACGTGGCTCTTCAGTGTCACTATCGTCGTGGGTTTAACAATTTCATGCTGTACAAAGAAGACAGAAGCCACGTTCCCATCTTCCACGGCAGAATATTCCAGGAGAGCTTCATCATGGGCCCTGTGACCCCAGCACATGCAGGGACCTACAGATGTCGGGGTTCACGCCCACACTCCCTCACTGGGTGGTCGGCACCCAGCAACCCCGTGGTGATCATGGTCACAGGTCAGAGGCTTTCTGTCTGGGCTTCTCACTGTCCCACCTCCTGAATCCCAGAGCTTCTGGTGGGGGTGTCCATCAGGGTCCCATCACCCAGGCCCCAACTGTATTTGGGGTCAAGGGGGATTGAATACAGGGGAAATGGGCGCTGTGGTGGGAAGAATAACTGTCGCCAATGATGGCTACATTGTAAACCCTGGAGCCTGTGACTATTTATGTTATAGGGCAGGGGACTGAAGGGGAAGGTGGAGCTCAGGTTGTTGATGAGTTGACCTTGAGATGGGGAGACAGCCTGGACTGTCCTGCTGGGCTCAGTGTAATCACAAGGGTCCGCGTGAGAGGTGGAGGAAGAGGGGAGTGGGGATTAGAGCAGTGTAGTGGGAGGGAGACGCTATCAGCCACTGTGGGCTTTGAAGGTGGAGGAAGGCCACTAGTCACAGAATGCAGGTGGCCTCTAAGGGCTGGAGAAGTCAAGAGAACTGATTTGCTGAGTCTCCAGAGGGAACGCAGCCCTGCAGATGCCTTGATTTCAGCACAGGGAGAACTGGATCCAATTTCTGTCCCCAGAAGTGGAAGGGGTCAGTGTGTTCTCTCCTGCTGCCATGTTTGTGATAATTTTCTGCAGCAGCAACAGGAAACCGACACAGGAACCCAGGTCAAGGACAAGCTAGGAAACCAAACAAGGATAGCCAGGTGTGGTGGTGGGCACGAGTAATCCAACGACTGGGGAGGCTGAGGCAAGATAATCACTTGAACCGGGGAGGCAGAGGTTGCAGTGAGCCAAGACAACACCACTGCACTCCAGCCTGGGTGAAAAAGTGACTGTCTCAAAAATAAATTAATTAATCAATTAATTAAAGAAACCAAACAAGGAGAAGGTTGGCTACCGTGGGATCAGCAAGGGTGGGATGCTGATGCCACCACCAGGCTCCATCCACATAGGAAGGGGTTGATGCTCCTGGAACCAGCACCAGGGACCACCCTATGGAAGCTGGGGCCATGGAGAAGGCACAGACATGGCAGGAGAGGCTCCCAATCCCCATCAGGAACAGGGTGTGTGGACACTGATGTCTGCCTTACTGATGAGTTGATACCTCTGCCAGAGACTCCAATTTGTTCAAAAGAGATTGATTCAGGCTGCTGAGAGCCTGGACATGCAGCCTGTCCTCTTCCACCCCCACATAGACAGCAGGAAAGAGACTAGTGGGAAAGAGATACAACAGCCCAAGAGATGAGGCTCTCTTCACAGTGGGAAGGGAGTCAGGGGCTACTGGAGACAGAGGGACAGAGAAGAGGGAGGAAGACAAATGGAGGGACCTGCACCAGGGGATATGGGCACAGAAAAGACACGGAGACACAGAGAGGGAGGAGAGAGACAGACCTCTGGGAGGGGAACCCTCACTCATTCCAGGTGCCATGGATGGGATGATAAAGAGAGATGCCTTCTAAACTCACAACTTCTCTTTCTAGGAAACCACAGAAAACCTTCCCTCCTGGCCCACCCAGGGCCCCTGCTGAAATCAGGAGAGACAGTCATCCTGCAATGTTGGTCAGATGTCATGTTTGAGCACTTCTTTCTGCACAGAGAGGGGATCTCTGAGGACCCCTCACGCCTCGTTGGACAGATCCATGATGGGGTCTCCAAGGCCAACTTCTCCATCGGTCCCTTGATGCCTGTCCTTGCAGGAACCTACAGATGTTATGGTTCTGTTCCTCACTCCCCCTATCAGTTGTCAGCTCCCAGTGACCCCCTGGACATCGTGATCACAGGTGAGAGTGTCCAGACATTCTTCTCATTGTCATTGGGACACAGAGTGAATGATCCAGGACTTGGAACCCCCAGGTGGTCATGAGGAAGATAAGCGTGGGATTCTTATGGAGAGAGACTGACTCGGTGAGGTCTGTACCAACAGAGACAGGGAAACAGGAGACATAAGTACAGACCAGGTGTCATAACAGAGGACAGACACAGGGGCCATACGGGGAAGTAGAAAAGAGAGAAAGAGGTAAAGGAGACACTCAGACAGACAGACATGTGCCAGAGAGAAGTGTCCTTCCATGCTGACTTTGCTCAGAGACCTGGCACAGGTTAGAAGTTTCATTTCTGTTTTGTCTCCACAAAGTGCTTCTACGAGGAGAACCCAAGGACACCCATATTTCTGACCTGAGTTGGGCCCTGTGGCCTCAGGCCTTGTGGCATCTACAGATGCCATGTTTATTCTGACACCTCTGCCTTCCATGCAGTGGAGCCATAATTATCCCAGGATATCATGGCCCCAGAACACCAACCCCTAAATACTGTGTGTACTTGGTGTCCCCAGACTAGATTCTGAGGCTCATATTCCAAATAATCCTACATATAATAGGATCACTGAGAGACACAGAGATAAATCAGGGACTTCAAAAAGCAAAGGCATAAACACACAGAGAATGAGCCAGAGGAAGGGGATTGAGAGACTCACAGACACACAAAAAGAAAGAAAAGAGGGCAGAGGAGTGGAGAGAATGCTGGAAGGGAGGAGAGAAAAGCCCCAAAATCAGAACCCTGAGGGAGGGGCACAAAGACAGAGAAAGATAAAGATGTGGGGATGGATTGCAGAGATTCCAAATAGAACTAGAGAGACTGAGAGGCAGAGAAAGACAAGGAGATGGAGAGAGACAGATGATAGATGGATAGATAGATATAGATAGATGATAAATAGGTAGATGATAGATAATGGATAGGTTATAGATACATAGATGATGATTGATAGATGATACATAGAGATGATGATGATGATGATGAAGATAGATAGAAGACACATATATAAATATATAGATACATAGATGATACATAGAGACTGACAGGCAGACAGAGAGGTAATAGAGAGAGAGAGAGATGATACATAGATACAGATAATACATAGATGATTGATGGATAGACAGATAGACAATTGATAGATAAATGATACATAGATATAGATGACAGATAATTTGTAGATAGACACAAAATAGATAGATAGATAATAGATAGAAATATGCAGAAAGTTATGAACAAGACAGAAAGTGAGAGACTCAGAATTATAGAAAAAGGAAGATCAAGTCAACCAATCCAAGGAGAGTCAGAGAGAATAAAACAATCCAAAAAGGGAAAGCATACCCAGGGGTGGGGAAGTGAGGTCAGAGACCTAGAGAGACAGAGAAGGCGGAAGGAGGAAATAGACATGAAGAGAGTTGGGGTGGAGGGTGAGAGAGAGAGAGAGCATTAGGTCATAGAGCAGGGGAGTGAGTTCTCAGCTCAGGTATGAGGGGAGCTGTGACAAGGAAGAACCTCCCTGAGGAAACTGCCTCTTCTCCTTCCAGGTCTATATGAGAAACCTTCTCTCTCAGCCCAGCCGGGCCCCACGGTTCAGGCAGGAGAGAACGTGACCTTGTCCTGTAGCTCCTGGAGCTCCTATGACATCTACCATCTGTCCAGGGAAGGGGAGGCCCATGAACGTAGGCTCCGTGCAGTGCCCAAGGTCAACAGAACATTCCAGGCAGACTTTCCTCTGGGCCCTGCCACCCACGGAGGGACCTACAGATGCTTCGGCTCTTTCCGTGCCCTGCCCTGCGTGTGGTCAAACTCAAGTGACCCACTGCTTGTTTCTGTCACAGGTGAGGAAAACCCGTGTCTGTCCCATGTCTTATGATCCTAGAGCCATAGCTGAGGAGCTTCCTGCCGATGATGGGGAGAAGCATGGACAGATGCAGAGAGAACACGAAGACTGGGTGTGAGGGGGGGTCAGGGTGCAGGATGGCAGACAGGGCACCTCCAAACCCTCTTGCATGGCCTGCATGGAGGCCCATGGTCAGGGCTCCAGGCACCCAGGCAGATGGAGAAAGCGGTCAGGACAGACCCAGAGAAGGGGAGACTGGGCTCAGTTTGGGGAGATCAGAGGTTCCCTCAGCCCCTCAACCTTACCCATTTCCCAGAAGCCCATCCTGGCCTCTCACCCACACAGAGAGATGTCATCACCAGCAACCCCTACACTCTTTTCTTTTCATTTTCAAAAATATTTATTGAGGTTAAATGTAACTATATAATTTACCAACTTTACCATTTTTAAAAGTAAAATCTAGTGGTCATAAATACCTTTATATGCTGGGTGTGGTGGTTCACGGTTGTAATCTTGGCGCTTTGAGAGGCCAAGAAAGGTGGATCATTTAAGATCAGGGACTCGAGATCAGCCTGGCCAACATGTGGGAAATTCATCTTTACTAAACAGACAAGAAAAATTAGCCAAGCATGCCGGCATGCACCTGTAGTCCTAGCTACTTGGGAGGCTGAGGCAGGAGAAGCACTTAAAGCCAGGAGGCAGAGGTTGCACTGAGCCGAGATCATGCCACTGCACTGCAGCCTGGGAGACAGAGAGAGACTCTGTTTCTAAATAAATAAATACATCTATATTCTTTTTTTTGTTACCTTCCACCCTTCCCTTCCTGGCCTCTGGTATCCACCATTCTATTCTCTACCTTCATGAGATCCACCTTTTATCTCCTGCATGTGGTGAGAAATGGGAATCTTTGTAATGACCTCCAGTTCCATCCATGTGGCTGCAAATGACAGGATGTTATTGTTTCTATGGATGAGTAGTCTCCACCGTGTGTGTGTACTACAGTTCTCTATCCATTCACCCACTGATAGGCAGGTAGGTTGACTCCACATCTTGGCTACTGTGAACAGTGCTGGAACAGTCATATGAGTGCAGATATCACTTCGATACACTGATGTCCTTTCCTTTGGATATAAACCCAGTAGTGAAATTGCTGGACACTATGAAAGTTCTCTTTTTTTTTTTTTCTTTTTTGAGAAAGAGTTTCCCTCCTTAGTCCAAGCTGGAGTCAAAGTGGTGCGATCTTGGCTCATTGCAACCTCTGCTTCCTAGGTTCAAACGATTCTCCTGACTCAGCCTCCCTAATAGCTGTGATTACAGGTGCACGCCACCATGCCTGACTAATTCTTGTATTTTTTAGCACAGACGGGATATCCCAATTTTGGGCAGGCTGCTCTCAAACTCCTGACCTCAAGTGAGGTGCCTGCCTCGGTTTCCCAAAGTGCTGAAGTTACAGGCATAAGCCACTATGCCCAGCCTCCTTTTAGTTTTTTAAAGATTTTCCATACTTTTCTCCATAATAGTTGTACTAATTTACATTCCTACCAACAGGGTACCAGGGTTCTCCTTTCTCTACCATCTTGCCAGCATTTGTTTTGCCTGTCTTGCAGATAAAAGCCATTTTACTTTACTTTATTTATTTATTTATTTATGTTGAGATGGAGTTTCACTCATAGTCGCCCAGGCTGGAGTGCAAGGGTGTGATCTCGGCTCACTGCAACCTCTGCCTCCCGCGTTCAACTGATTCTCCTGCCTCAGCCTCCAAAGTAGCTGGGATTACAGGCATGTGCCACCACGCCTAGCTAATTTTTGTATGTTTAGTAGAGAGGGAGTTTCTCCATGTTGGTCAGGCTGGTCTCCCGACCTCAGGTGATCCGCCCACCTCCGCCTCCCAAAGTGCTGGAATTACAGGCGTGAGCCACCGGCCTAAAAGGCATTTTAATGGGATGAGATGAAAACTCATCGCGATTGTAATTTACATTTCTGTGATGATGAGTGATGCTGAGCACTTTTTCATATACGTGATCGCCATTTCTATGTTTTGTTTGTGGAGAAATGTCTCCTCATGTCTTTTGCTCGTTTTTTAATTAAATTGTTTTATTGAGTTGTTTGAGCTTCTTATATTTCCAGTTATTAATCCCATCTCAGATGAATAGTTTGCAAATATTTGCTCCTATTTTGTGGGTTGTCTCTTCACTTTGTTGGTTTATCTTTGGTGGTGCAGAAGTTGCTTGGTTTGATGTAATCCTAATGGTCTATTTTTTGCTTTGATTACTTGTGTTTTGAAGGTTTTAAACAAAATGTCTTTCGTCAGACAAATGTCTTCCCCATTATTTTCTTCTACATGTTTCATAGGTTCAGGCCTTAGACTCATGTTTTTAATCCATTTTCATTTGATTTTTGTGTAAGGTGACAGGTATAGATGCAGTTTTATTCCTCTGCATGTAGATATCCAGTTTTCCCCACACCATTTATTGAAGACTGTCCTTTCCTGATTGTAAGTTCTCGGCACCTTTGTCAAAGTCCATTAAATGGGCTGGGTATGGTGGCTCACACCTGCAATTCCAGCACTTTGGGAGGCCGAGGCGGGTGGATCACCTAAAGCCAGGAGTTCAAGACCAGGCTGGCCAACAGAGTGAAACCTCGTCTCTACTAAAAATACAAAAATTAGCTGAGCATGGTGATCAGTGCCTGTAATACCACTACTCAGGAGTTTGAAGCAAGAGAATTTCTTGAATCCAGGAAGTGGAGGTTGCATTGAGCTGAGATTGCACCTCTACACTCCAGCCTGCATGACAGAGCAAGATTCTATCACACACACACAAAAGAAAGCCATTGGATGTAAATGCATGGATTATATCTGTGTTCTCCATTCTGTTCCATTTTTTATGTGCCTTTCTTTATGCCAATGTCATGCTGTTTTGCTTACTACAGCTCTGTAACATATTTCTAAGTCAGGTAGTGTGATGCTCCTGTTTTCTCTTTATACCTTCAAGTCTCAAGACAGTGGGCATCGCACACAAAAATTATGGAGAAAAGGATCCCAAGACTCCCAGGGTCCAACATTAGATAACAGAGTGTTGGCCATGAACCAACCTCAAAGATTTCCATTGAGTAGAGGACAAGCACCCTCATTTCCTCACATCTCTCCTGTCCCGTGTTCTAGGAAACCCTTCAAGTAGTTGGCCTTCACCCACAGAACCAAGCTCCAAATCTGGTGAGTAAAGGACCCCTCTTATCTCTGCTTTTGGAAACCTGGGGAGGTGGAAGCCTTGGATGCAAGTGTTGGCTCAAACCTCCCAGCTCTGTGAATGAGGGCCTGTCTTCCACCATCTCTGAACTCCAGACACTCCAACAGTGAAAGGGATCTAGGGCCACCAAAGGGCTCAGCGAAGTCTCTTTACCTTTAATTTCCTGCAGGTGAGACCTCCTACAAGCTAGAAGAATAATTGCCAATCTGACATCCTTCTCAGGAAAAATGCAGTGTTTTTTCTGCCTGCATTCCTAACTGGAGGATAAATTCCCGGGGGCTTGAGAGAGGGAAGGGAAGGGAACATCTGATGAGGGTGGGTGTTTTAGAGAAGTTCCACTTGCCAAGGAATGAATTACTGTTGGTCATCAGGCAACCCTGGCTGACTCAGCAGAGCAAGAGCCTTGCCGTAACAGAGAACAGAGCTCATGCACGCACACTTCGACTCAGTGACTCATTCAGCCACAGCCCCATGCTCAGGCTGTGCAGTGTGGAAGCTTTTCCTATTGTTGCCATAACAAATTTCCACAAGATTCGTGTGTGAAAACAAAACGGTTATTTAATTATCTTACAGTGCTGTAGCTCAAAGCATGACGTGCATGTCACTGGGCTAAAATCAAGGTGACAGCAAGGCTGCCTTCCCTCTGAGGGTTCCAGGCAAGAATCTGCTTCTCACTTTTCTCAGCTTCTAGAGGCTCCCATGTTCCTTGGCTCCTGGTACCCTTCCTCCTTCCTCAAAGCCCACAAAGACTGGTCACATCTCACATGGCATCACTCAGACCCTTCTTCCTTACCACACCTCTTTCTCTGAATGCTGCTCTCCCTTCTTGCCCTTCTTTTGAAAACTTGGGGATTCTATTGGGTTCACCAAGATGAAAATCCATCATAATCTCCCGGAAATCATCCAGGATACCCTCCTTTTAAGTTCAGCTGACTAGCAACCATAATTCCATCTGCAATCTTCATTCCTCCTTTCATGTAAAATAACATATTCACAAGCTATGGAGGCTAGGACATGGACATTTTTGGGGTGGGACAACATTCTCCTGCCTTCCACAAACAGTGAACAAGATGCATTTGGCCTCTGTTCTTGGGACACTGATCTTGCAGATGGTTAAATGGGAGGGCAGAAAATGTAGGCACAAGGGGACCAATAAATGAATGATCTATTGAGAAGCATCTGTGCATGAAATCTATTTATTTATGTATTTACCTACTTGTTTATTGAGACGGAGCCTTGCTCTGTCGTCCAGGCTAGAGTGCGGTGGCATGATCTCGGCTCACTGCAACCTCCACCTCCTGGGCTGAACTGATCTCCTCCCTCAGCCTCTCCAGTAGCTGGGATTACAGACCACAACCACCACGCCCGGCTAACTCTTTTTGCATATTTTCTGTAGAGAGGATGTTTCACCATGTTGGCCAGGCTGGTCTCAAATTCCCAACCTCAGGTGATCCAATAGCCTCTGCCTCCCAACACGCTGGGATAAGAGGCATGAGCCACGGGGCCAAGCCAAATTTTCAAATCAATAATAGATAATGCTGAGTGTATTATTTCAGGTGACAGAGAAGTTCTCACTAATCAGATATTTGTGACATTAATGAAAAACACGGATTGAACCCCTGAAAGATTGGCGGAAGGATTTTGCACACACAGCTGTCAGCCGTGAAGGCACAAAGGTGAAAACAATCTGATGTGGAAGGAAGAGGCTCTGCCTGAAATGCTGGGAATGAGGTGGGGAGAATGACAAGATGACTGTAGAGAGACGGAGAGCACACTGGGTACACAGGAAACTAAGGAGCAACAAGGAGCGTGTGTTTGACACTCACAGCCATTGGATTCACCTCGAGGTAACCAGGAATCCCTACATGATTAATATGACTGACATGAAAATAAGGGAGGCTCAGTTGCATAACTGGAATCTAGGAGACCGTGGAAAAGGCAATTGCCGCCCCACTGGTGAAATGTGGTGCTGATTTAGACACTAAATGAATGAAGTAGATGGATATAAGATATGTTTGTGAGGTAGAATCATTGGCTGGAAAGGCTTGCTGGGTTTAATTTTTCCTGGTAGTTTAATCCTCGCTTCACTAACTTATTTCTGAGATTTATTTCTCCTGCATCTAAATCAATACCTGGCAGAGGAGGGAGAGCTAGATGAGGGGTGGTGCAAATGAAGGGACCTAGTATAGCATAATATACAAGGCTGTGAACGGTGGCTCACGCCTGTAACCCAGCACTTCAGGAGGCCAACGCGGGTGGATCACATGAAGTCAGGAGTTCGAGACCAGCCTGGCCAACATGGAGAAACCCTATCTCTACTAAAAATACAAAAATTAAACAGGCATGATGGTGGTGCATGACTGTAATCCCAGCTACTCTGGAGGAGGAAGCAGGAGAATGACTTCAGCCCTGGAGGCAGAGGTTGCAGTGAGTGGAGATCGCATCACTGCACACCAGCCTGGGCTACACAGGGATACTCTGTCTCAAAAAATAAAAATAAAAAATACATAAATATAATAATATACACAAATGATGCAGGCACCTGAATTCCAATCATCATTTTTCTATTCCTCTATAATTACTTCTTTGATCCTTTATCTTATCCATTAGAAAATCAGCCTAAAACCTCTTCCATATTTGGCTTTCTGTGAACATGAGATCATATGGAAAATATGAAAGCCCCCTGAACCCACCAGCACAGGCCCTGAAATAGGGAAAGTGCTCTGTTCATCACAAGAAACTTTCCCCCTCACCCAAATCCCCCACCTCACCCCTACTTCCAATCACCTGTGGAGATACAGATAGATCATGGGGAGGTAAACGCTAATACTCCTTGGAGTGAGTTCAGATCTTGGAATCAGAGATCAGCACCAGCACTAGCTCCTGCTCCCCTTTCCTACTAATTCACAGGAGGACAGGTGGTTTTGAAGCAATAGATGGTGGAGGGGGTGGTCTTTCCCCCAGCCTCTCAGGTGGAACAGCAGCCTAACATGTGTCTCGCGAGATCACAAAGAGTAGCACGTTTCACATGGGCTTCATCATTATTTCCTGGCTGTTTGACATAAGAGAATTCTACTTTGCTTTTTTGATCTTGATTTCACTTTTGTGTCCTTTTCTTGGAGAATGTAATTTGAGTCAAGAGGGTTGTGGATGTAGAAACTGTAAAGCACATTCACTGTGTATCAATCCCAGTCCAGTCTTTCCAGAGAAGACTCTAAACACCTGCTGTACTGCACCTGGGCCTATGCCAATTTCTATCACTCACCGTCACTCCAGGGAGACAGAACACACAGAGAATACGTTACATAGGCAGGTTCATTACTAACAGATAAGCAGCGAGTGACAACAGAAGCCTACATTTCAACGTGAGCCAGTCCCTCAAGGCTCAGAAAAGCTGCTCGGGACATATGGAGTCACCTCATTTGCAGTGTATCTGGGGGAAGCCAGAAAATAGCCCAGCCTGGGTTTTGTACCCTGAAGCCACAGGAAGCACTCAGCTAAAGCACTGCATGACGTCCTCCTCCAGGAAGAACAGGAAGACAGCACAGGCTGTTCTGAGACGTTCCTCCTGATCTCAGGACGTTGCTGTCTTAGTCCATTTTTGTTGCTATAAAAGAACACTTGAGCCTGGGTTACTTCTTTTTTTTTTTTTTTTTTTTTGTATAGTGCTTCTGATGAGCTTTTTTTTAAAATTTTTATTATTATTATACTTTAAGTTTTAGGGTACATGTGCACAATGTGCAGGTTAGTTACATATGTATACATGTGCCATGCTGGTGTGCTGCACCCATCAACTCGTCATTTAGCATTAGGTATATCTCCTAATGCTATCCCTCCCCCCTCCCCCACCCCACAACAGTCCCCAGAGTGTGATGTTCCCCTTCCTGTGTCCATGTGTTCTCATTGTTCAATTCCCACCTATAAGTGAGAACATGCGGTGTTTGGATTTTTGTCCTTGTGATAGTCTACTGAGAATGATGATTTCCAATTTCATCCATGTCCCTGCAAAGGACATGAACTCATCATTTTTTATGGCTGCATAGTATTCCATGGTGTATATGTGCCACATTTTCTTCATCCAGTCTATCATTGTTGGACATTTGGGTTGGTTCCAAGTCTTTGCTATTGTGAATAGTGCCACAATAAACATACGTGTCCATGTGTCTTTATAGCAGCATGATTTATAGTCCTTTGGGTTTATACCCAGTAATGGGATGGCTGGGTCAAATGGTATTTCAAGCTCTAGATCCCTGAGGAATCGCCACACTGACTTCCACAATGGTTGAACTAGTTTACAGTCCCACCAACAGTGTAAAAGTGTTCCTATTTCTCCACATCCTCTCCAGCACCTGTTGTTTCCCGACTTTTTAATGATCGCCATTCTAACTGGTGTGAGATGGTATCTCATTGTGGTTTTGATTTGCATTTCTCTGATGGCCAGTCATGGTGAGCATTTTTTCATGTGTTTTTTGGCTGCATAAATGTCTTCTTTTGAGAAGTGTCTGTTCATGTCCTTTGCCCACTTTTTGATAGGATTGTTTGTTTTTTTCTTGTAAATTTGTTTGAGTTCATTGTAGATTCTGGATATTAGCCCTTTGTCAGATGAGTAGGTTGCGAAAATTTTCTCCCATTTTGTAGGTTGTCTGTTCACTCTGATGGTAGTTTCTTTTGCTGTGCAGAAGCTCTTTAGTTTAATTAGATCCCGTTTGTCAATTTTGGCTTTTGTTGCCGTTGCTTTTGGTGTTTTAGACATGAAGTCCTTGTCCATGCCTATGTCCTGAATGGTAATGCCTAGGTTTTCTTCTAGGGTTTTTATGGTTTTAGGTCTAACGTTTAAGTCTTTAATCCATCTCAAATTAATTTTTGTATAAGGTGTAAGGAAGGGATCCAGTTTCAGCTTTCTACCTATGGCTAGCCAGTTTTCCCAGCACCATTTATTAAATAGGGAATCCTTTCCCCATTGCTTGTTTTTCTCAGGTTTGTCAAAGATCACATAGTTGTAGATATGTGGCATTATTTCTGAGGGCTCTATTCTGTTCCATTGATCTATATCTCTGTTTTGGTACCAGTACCATGCTGTTTTGGTTACTGTAGCCTTGTAGTATAGTTTGAAGTCAGGCAGCATGATGCCTCCAGCTTTGTTCTTTTGGCTTAGGATTGACTTGGCAATGCAGGCTCTTTTTTGATTCCATATGAACTTTAAGGTAGTTTTTTCCAATTCTGTGAAGAAAGTCATTGGTAGCTTGATGGGGATGGCATTGAATCTATAAATTACCTTGGGCAGTATGGCCATTTTCACGATCTTGATTCTTCCTACCCATGAGCATGGAATGTTCTTCCATTTGTTTGTATCCTCTTTTATTTCATTGAGCAGTGGTTTGTAGTTCTCCTTGAAGAGGTCCTTCATATCCCTTGTAAGTTGGATTCCTAGGTATTTTATTCTCTTTGAAGCAATTGTGAATGGGAGTTCACTCATGATTTGGCTCTCTGTTTGTCTGTTATTGGTGTATAAGAATGCTTGTGATTTTTGTACATTGATTCTGTATCCTGAGACTTTGTAGAAGCTGCTTATCAGCTTAAGGAGATTTTGGGCTGAGACAATGGGGTTTTCTATATATACAATCATGTCATCTGCAAACAGGGACAATTTGACTTCCTCTTTTCCTAATTGAATACCCTTTATTTCCTTCTCCTGCCTAATTGCCCTGGCCAGAACTTCCAACACTATGTTGAATAGGAGTGGTGAAAGAGGGCATCCCTGTCTTGTGCCAGTTTTCAAAGGGAATGCTTCCAGTTTTTGCCCATTCAGTATGATACTGGCTGTGGGTTTGTTATAGATGGCTCTTATTATTTTGAGATACGTCCCATCAATGCCTAATTTATTGAGAGTTTTTAGCATGAAGCGTTGTTGAATTTTGTCAAAGGCCTTTTCTGCATCTATTGAGATAGTCGTCCGGTTTTTGTCTTTGGTTCTGTTTATATGATGGATTACATTTATTGATTTGCATATATTGAACCAGCCTTGCATCCCAGAGCCTGGGCAACTTCTAGAGAAAACAGATTTGTTTGCCTCACAGTTCTGCAGGCTGTACTGGAAGCATGGCACCAGCATCTGTTTCCTGTGACGGCCTCAGGCTGCTCCCACTCTGGCAGAAGGGAAGGAGGGTCTGTCTGTGCAGAGACCACAGAGATCACATGGCAAGAGAGGGAGCAAGGGGGAGGGCGAGCGATGGAGCTTCCAAGCTCTTTTTAACAACCAGCCCTCCGGGAACTAATAGAGGGGGAACTTGCTAACCCCATCATGTGGGGCAGCATTAATCTATTCATGATGGATCCACCTCCATGACTCAAACACCTTCCCATAGGCCCAAACTTCCACACTGGGGGTTAAATTTCAATATTTCAGTGTGAGGTTTCAAAGGGTCAAACATCTAAACTAAAGCAGCTGTATCCTCAGCATGTTCTATGGTTTCTATGAGAGCTGTAACTGAGAAAGCAGGAGAAAGCTGGGTCTCCCGCCATCAGGCTGCTTGTCCTAAGGAGATGTTCCATGTGGTTACCTGTCAATCAAGAAATGAGACAATCCATAAAGAGGAACTGCTATGATTAGCTTCTTATTGGATTCCCATCTTCCTCCAGGTATCTGCAGACACCTGCATGTTCTGATTGGGACCTCAGTGGTCATCTTCCTCTTCATCCTCCTCCTCTTCTTTCTCCTTTATCGCTGGTGCTCCAACAAAAAGAGTAAGTCTCACGAAGCAGAGGCCAGAGAGCTCAGGGCCATGTGGGGAAGCAGGATGGGAGCACGCGGGTGTGTGTTCCTCACTGGCAGGATGGTCCCTGGCCCAAGGGAGGAGCCACAGAGGCAGGGCTTTCTAGAGAGAGCACCAGACAACCTGCCCCTGCCTTCAGCTCACAGACCATTGCCTGGTTCTGAACTGTATCCTCACATCCCCTGCAGCTACTGACATCCAGAAGCTTCCATGACAGGCAGAAAGTGGGAGACAGAATCAATGGGATGCCAATTGAGAGCACTTCATGGGATGGGGTCTTGAACTCAGAGAGATAGAATGTCTGAGTCTGGATGTTGGCAGCTGAAGAGCCTCAGGCACCTACAGCCTCCCCCTGTGGGTTGGTGTCTGCCCATGAAATGAGGACCCAGAAGGGCCCTCCAAGCGGTTTTGATGACTTCCGTCTCCTACAGATGCTGCTGTAATGGACCAAGAGCCTGCGGGGGACAGAACAGTGAATAGGCAGGTAGGTCCTCCTCGGCCCAGCCTCACGGATACAGTCTTATCCCTAATAGTCCTGAAAAATGTGAGCACCCTCCCTCACTCAGCATTTCCCTCTCTCCAGGACTCTGATGAACAAGACCCTCAGGAGGTGATGTACGCACAGTTGGATCACTGCGTTTTCATACAGAGAAAAATCAGTCGCCCTTCTCAGAGGCCCAAGACACCCCTAACAGATACCAGCGTGTACACGGAACTTCCAAATGCTGAGCCCAGATCCAAAGTTGTCTCCTGCCCACGAGCACCACAGTCAGGTCTTGAGGGGGTTTTCTAGGGAGACAACAGCCCTGTCTCAAAACCAGGTTGCCAGATCCAATGAACCAGCAGCTGGAATCTGAAGGCATCAGTCTGCATCTTAGGGGATCGCTCTTCCTCACACCACGAATCTGAACATGCCTCTCTCTTGCTTACAAATGCCTAAGGTCGCCACTGCCTGCTGCAGAGAAAACACACTCCTTTGCTTAGCCCACAAGTATCTATTTCACTTGACCCCTGCCCACCTCTCCAACCTAACTGGCTTACTTCCTAGTCCTACTTGAGGCTGCAATCACACTGAGGAACTCACAATTCCAAACATGCAAGAGGCTCCCTCTTAACACGGCACTTACACACTTGCTGTTCCACCTTCCCTCATGCTGTTCCACCTCCCCTCAGACTATCTTTCAGCCTTCTGTCATCAGTAAAATTTATAAATTTTTTTTATAACTTCAGTGTAGCTCTCTCCTCTTCAAATAAACATGTCTGCCCTCATGGTTTCGATAATGTGACTCTTTATTCGCCAAAAGTTTCCAGTGTTATCATTACTATGTCCATATAACCTGATATGTTCTCTACTGGGTTCTCAGCCCTGGACTCTGAGCTTCTGGAAGCAGGGTGGAGCCTCATTTGTCTCTGGGACTCCAATTTCCATCCAAAGATGCAGCACATAGGAGGTTCCAAGGATCGTGAATCACATGAACAAGTGATATTCTTACTCTCTGCAGACCTGGAAAGCTGGCAGAGTCATTCCAAGATGAAACATTTGTAGAGTCATAGGCCTTGTTAGTCTCATCTCCACAGGGACACATGTCAACACATCATCTTTCATACTATAAATATACAGTCGCTCCTCCATATCTGTGGGGTTTACAGGTGTTTATTGAACCAAATATAAATCAAAAATATTCAGAGAAAAAATCCACAAAGTTCCAAAAAGCAAAAATACTATATTGTGTGGACACAAGTGAGGTGGTGTGTAGGCTGTATCAGGAATTATAAGTAATCTAGAGATGATTTCATGTATACAGGAGGATGTGCATGGGTTATATGCAAATGCTGTGCCATTTCATGCAACAGGCTTGAGCATCTGCAGATTTTGGTGTCTGGTAGGGAGGGGGGTTTCCTGGAACCAATCACCCATGAATAGTGAAGGACTACTGTATATAATTTTCATTCATCAATTTTATAAATAAATCATCAAAATGTATGATAATAAGATAAAAAATTAGCAGTGTTTTTATGGTGTGAAAATAAGCTTAGATTTATTTTTTCCTGCTTGTAACCCTCTGGTCCAATGTTATTTACTGAGAAGACATTCTATTCCACCTTAATCCGCATGGCAGCCTCTGTCAACTATAAAAGGACTGTGTGTACACAGATGTATTTTACACACTCTTTTCTGCTCAGTGGCTCTCTGTGTCCACTCTCATGAGGATGCTGCACTTTATGTGGCCTTATAGAACCCCTTAAAATTTGGCAGCCTGAATCCTCTAATTTCTCCTTCCTCTTTAAGATTGCCATTATTATTATTATTGGCTATTTGCTTTTCCATGTAAATTTGTAATCATTTTTCTCATTTCCACCAAAAACAATGCTTGTAATTTTGTTGTGACTCCCTTACATCTACAGGTAAGTTCTGTCCTATAGAAACATAATGCAAACCACATGCATTCTTTCAAACTTGCTAGTATCCAAATTAAAAAGCTAACAAGAAACAGATAAAATTAATTTAAGTTAACCCAATGGACCCAAAATATTATTAACCCAACAGACCCAAAATATTAACCTAATAGATCCAAAATATTATTTTATTATACAAGTAGACTCAAAATATTATCATTTCAACATGTA